>NC_000011.10:33090303-33241818 GCF_000001405.40 Homo sapiens
GGACAGAATGAAACTATTAAATCCCATTTCAATTCTCATTTTGTTCAGCTACTTTGACACTCAGGATTTCCTAAACCCAAGGAAAATCTTTGAACTTTTTTCTTGCTTCCTGCAAATCTATTCTAAAACTAGATTCACATTTCAGAATTTAGAGTGCAGGTTATCAATGAACTCTTCTAAAACACTGGAAAAGTGAGGACACTCCACATCTTGATCCTAAGTACATACCTTATAACCAAGTGCTTTTAATTCACTTGCAGAGCAAGGATATAAATCCATGAACTTGTATCTATCTACTAGTAAAGCCGTTTCTTTCCCTTCATACTCTTCTTTGAATGCTGTAAACCGTCTTTTCTCCACTTTGAGTATACTAGCTAGATCACCAATATTACTTTCAAATGCTAGAAATCGGGCCCAGATTTCTCTGCAAGAAAAGAAATACAATCAATACTTTAATTATTCTGGGTTTAGGGCAGGGAGTTCATTTACAAAAACGCCTTAAGCTCTCTCTTTTTCCCTTAACTTATAAAAAGTGACTTTTTATTATAAAGATTTTTAGACTATAGAAAAATAGAATAGTATAATGAATACCTATATACCACTACCTATATTGCTAATATTTTGCCATATTTGCTTCATCTTATTTTTGCTTAAGTATTTCAAAGTAAATTATAAACCTATCACTTCAGTATTTAAGCCCATTTTTGAGTTTTTACTTATTTAGTATAGCTGCTGCTTCTTTGTGGTCAACATGAGACTTACCTTAGAGAGGATA
Source organism: Homo sapiens (assembly GCF_000001405.40). Classification (NCBI taxonomy): domain Eukaryota; kingdom Metazoa; phylum Chordata; class Mammalia; order Primates; family Hominidae; genus Homo; species Homo sapiens. The sequence goes on from NC_000011.10 coordinate 33,091,079, forward strand.
AACTCTAGGTGGAGAAGTTGGAAAAGGAACCTAGACAGATTTCTAATTTCTCCTGAATAATGTGGCTTCATTTTAAGTGGCAGGAATTATAATGTAGAATACATTCTTCATCTAATATATGAATAGAAATATACTCCAAAATCTAATATGATTACGCTATTGTTTCCCATTAACGTGGATCACTGGGGAAAAACTGGTGCCTCATCGTTGTTCTAACAGCTAAAATTAATGCTCTGAGACTACTTAAATGTCATTATGCACCTTTGTACTAAAGTAATATATTAAGTGCCTCTTATATACCAGATATGTGGCTATCACAAAAAATCCTACACTGGTGGACATTATTGTTAATAAGAAAGTGAAGATTGGTATAGCTATGAAATTTGCCATCTAGCTGGATATTGAACCCAAGACTCCAAAGCCTTACTATAATATTTCCGCTGTACCACTTGACAGTGTTGTTCCTCTGTATGGTAAAACTAACACGAGACAAAACCGTAAGTCAGAGACATAATATGTAAAACAAACTTTGAATTTACAAGAGTCTTTGCTTTTGAGTAAGGGAGGTGAAAATTTCAGAATGCCTCTCTTAACATGTTAATATCAATTTCTAGGGAGAGAGAGAGAGGTATCTTTTTTGTTGTTGTTGAGACAGAGTCTCACTCTGTCACCCAGGCTGGAGTGCAGAGGTGTGATCACAGCTCACTGGAGCCTCAACCTCCTGGGCTCAAGCAGTCCTCCAGCTCCCACCTCCGCCTCCCAGTATCTGGGACTACAGGCATGCACCACCACACCCAGCTAATTTTTAACATTTTTTGTATAGATTGGGTCTCACTATGTTGCCCAGGCTGGTCTCAAACTCCTGGGCTAAAGTCATCTTTCCACCTTGGCCTCCCAAAATGCTGGGATTACAGACATGAGCCACAATTTCTGGTTAGGGATATATAGTATACAAGAAAGATGATAATAAATTGCTATGGCATCTCTTAAAAACAATTCTAATCACTGTGCAGAAATTTAAAAATAATTTTAAACAGGTATAAAAGTACTGCTGATAGGTAAAATAAAACTTGAGAAGGAAAGGAAATTTCTCTTGAAACTCATACTCAAGCAAACATTCACCCCATAGACCACAATTCAGGTAAGAAAGCTGTCTTTAGAACCTGATCAACAACTTTTCACAATGGCTTACCCAGACTTCTCAGGAGGAAGGCTTCCAGATGTTAAAACTCGTTCAAACAAAACTCGGGTATTATTGTCCTCTAGGATATTGAAAAAGATTTTAATTTTTTTAATTCACTTTTACGATGCAACAATATTTTCATATGCATTATCTCACTTCATCCTTACAAAAATCCTATGCAGAAAGGTTTAACTATTATCACACTTGATTTTTATAGATGAGGAAACTTGAGCTTCAGAAAGATTAAGAGATTTGATCTGGCTCTTGGTGATTGAGTAGCAGAGCAGTAACTGCAAGCCATGTTTTTTTCCCTTCTAGTTCAGCCCTCCTCTACTATACTGCAGTTCTAATGCAAAACCATTTATAACAGTGCCGTCTGAACCAGGTATCCCATTTGCCTTTTAAAAATAATGACAAGTACATATCTGCTGACATTAGTCAGACTACTGCTATTTTTTAAATACATTGAACATGGAAGGATGGCAAACTCAAACTTAGAAATAATTGAGTTTCTTATTTTGAGGCACCAGGACTATGCTATATTTAGCTACTTTAACTCTTGCAGAGGTACAATATCTAGGTTGGCAGGTAACTATGGAAATGTAAATGAATTAAGAATTGTTGACAGAGGTGTATTAAATTTTAAGAGTCTCAGGAGGTCCTCTATATCTGGAAGTGGGAAAATGACACTTCTTGCTAAACTCTAAGTTATCTTTTAAAACTTAAGAATCTAACAGTAACAACAACCATTGAATCTACTACTAACAACCACTGAACTGTACACCTAATGGATGGACTTATAGTATACAAATTATACTTCAATAAAGCTGTTCAAAAGAAAAATTAACCCAGCAGAGGAGTTGTTTTTTATTGCCTGAGAGTAGTTATTCAGTTTATTACATGTCCATAAGCAAAATAAAACCAAGAAATTAAATATATTAGACCAAAGAAGATGGCGCTATTTTTTTGGCTTCTCTCTTCAATTTAACATATTATACTTTAAAAAATGTTAAACAAATCTTACATTTTATCTTTTTCTGTTTTATCCCAAGCTTTGCTCCAGACACACTTTTTACCATTCCACAGAACTTTCACACTGCCTGCCTATGTGTTGTGCTCTCTGCCTGGAATAATGCATTTATCTTTCTTTACCTGGCTAACTACCACTCATCTCTCAAAATCCAACTCATGTGCCCTTCTCTATGACACCCTCTAGAACACTACTGTCCATCAGCAATATAATACAAGCCACATATGGAATTTAATAAAATGGGTAAAAACAGGTGAAATTAATATATTTAATCAACCTAATATATCCAAATCTTATTTCCACATGTAATCAATATGAAAAATTGTTAAGATAGTTTACATTTTTTTTTGTACTAAGTCTTTGAAATCTGGTATGTATTTACACACTTACACCACAACTCATTTTGGCCTAGTCACATTTCTTTTTTCTTTTTTGAGATGGAGTCACACTCTGTCACCCAGGCTGGAGTGCAGTGGCGCAATATCAGCTCACTGCAACGTCTGTCTCCCAGGTTCAAGCGATTCTTCCGCCTCAGCCTCCTGAGTAGCTGGGACTACAGGTGCACGCCACCATGCCCGGCTAGTTTTTATATTTTTAGTAGAGACGGGGTTTCACCATATTGGCCAGGCTGGTCTGGAACCCCTCACCTCGTGATCTGCCTGCCTCGGCCTCCCAAAGTGCTGGGATTACAGGTGTGAGCCACCACACCCAGCCCAGGCTATCCACATTTCAAGTGCTCAATACCTAATAGTCTAGTGACTACCATAATTGTGCAGCATAGCTCTATAACTTAAATTATACTCTCTTCTCTGTGCTTCCATAGTACTTCCTTCAGGAATCTATTACAGTATTTAGCACATTTTTAATGATCACCACCCTCATCATAACATTTATGGAATAATCACAACATTCTATATATAAGTGAAACACATGCAAAAACTCATTTACCCTCTCAACAGTCCTATGAAAGGTATTCTTATTATGACCATTATGCAGATGAGAAAACTGAAGTTTAAGATTATACACCTAACCTCAGAACTATGCTACAGTGAAACATCAAATGATGATGCAATTATATTTACACATTGGATTCCCCCACAAAAACGTTTTTCTGGATCCTATTCATCTTTGTATTCCCAGACTCTAGTAACCAGAAGGTAATGAATAAATGTTTCATGGATGGATAGATGGATAGATGAATGAAAGAATCATCTAAGACACTGATTTTGGAAGACAATAGTGCTAACACCAGATATCCTCCTTTTAAAAAAATAAAAATACATATACTAGTAACTATTTTAAAAAAAAATTAGGCAAAACAATTTAAGATTTATGAGGAATATTAAATGCCCCACTATCTCATTTTTTGGAGTTAAGTCTTTTTCCCAGAATGTAGAATCATTAAGCTGAAATACAAAATCATATTTAAGTTTTACTCTTTTATATTATTTAGGTAAATGGAATGCTCTATTTTTCTGAAATATTAAAATTACTGATTTATACCTATGATATCTAATTCTATAATCATTTACATGACATATAATTGCATATTTCTTTCTTAAGCCAACTTTTAGTGATGTATTTATTTATATTTATTTATTTACTTTATTATTATTATTTTTTTGAGGCAGAGTTTCGCTCTTGTTGCCCAGGCTGGAGTACAATGGCGCAATCTCGGCTCACCGCAGCCTCCCCCTCCAGGGTTCAAGCGATTCTCCTGCCTCAGCCTCCCCAGTAGCTGGGATTACAGGCGCCTGCCACCACGCCCAGCTAATTTTTTATATTTTTAGTAGAGACAGGGTTTCGCCGTGTTGGCCAGGCTAGTCTCAAACTCCTGGCCTTGGGTGATCTGCCTGCCTCGGCTTCCCAAAGTGCTGGGATTACAGGCATAAGCCACCACGCCCGGCCTATTCATTTATTTTTAAATGTTTTTTAGAGACAGGGTCTTGCTCTGTCATCCAGGCTAGATGGAGTACAGTGGCGTGATCACAGCTCACTGTGACCTCCAATTCCTGGGCTCAAGTGATCCAAGTATCTGAGACTACAGGCATACGCCACCACACCTAGCTAAAAAACCAACTTTTATACTACATCTTTTTTTGTTAAGAAATTACATATTGTGCACTGTTGTTAACTAGACTAAATGATATACATATATGAATTATCTAGCACAGTGCCTGGTAGGAACTCAATAAAGGATGGCCAGTGTTATTCGTACAACAGAATAGGGAAATAAATACTAAAAACCGGCCGGGCGCGGTGGCTCACGCCTGTAATCCCAGCACTTTGGGAGGCCGAGGCGGGCGGATCACGAGGTCAGGAGATCGAGACCATCCTGGCTAACACGGTGAAACCCTGTCTCTACTAAAAATACAAAAAATTAGCCGGGCGAGGTGGCGGGCGCCTGTAGTCCCAGCTACTCCGGAGGCTGAGGCAGGAGAATGGCGTGAACCCCAGGGGGCGGAGCCTGCAGTGAGCCGAGATTGCGCCACTGCACTCCAGCCTGGGCGACAGCGAGACTCTGTCTCAAATAAATAAATAAATAAATAAATAAATAAATAAATACTAAAAACCAAAATGTTTCTTTTTGAATCTTTTCCCCAGTATCCTCAAAGTGTTTTACTTTACTATTTGGGCATCTTTTGAGTTTGAGTTTTGGTGGCTAGAGGGTTTTTTGTTTGTTTGTTTTCCTTCCAGGAAACAGGAGATGATCTGCCCAGAGTCATCAGAGATGAATATAAACAACTCTGTGTCTCCTGACTCTGACTCTGAAGCTTTATCCCACTACTGATGGTACTTTACTGAATAAAGACAGTTCTGCAGAGTCAAAAAACATCTACCATTGCTCAGTAAATATATTCATGGTTGATATACCACAAGTATTTCTTGAGTGCCTAACAAGTGCCTGTCTGCTATGTCAAAATTATAATACATTCAAGAAGGAAGAAATCTAGCAACATAATTCCACATGGTTTAATATTAAGTAATCATTATAGATTCTAGAATCAACCTACCATTGAGGTGAGAAAGATAGTCAATATAGGCCAGGACATACTCTGGAATGTCTCCATATTTTTTTAGCCCCAGCTCAAAAATCTTAAAGGCAACAGATTTGTCCTACAAGTAAAGAAAGTAAAGTACAGATTTCCATGAAATGTCAGATAAAAAACACTTGAAAGAATATTAAAATTATACCTACATATGACAAAATATGTAAGAATTAAAACAAATTAAAATCATGTTAAGTAAAAATTGCTGAGCTAGAAACTATTCAAAGGAGTTTAGTGATTAGAAATCACGAAATAGTGATTAATATAGTGATTAATAAAGCACAAATTAGAAATATAGTGATTAATGAAGCATAAATTAGCAAGTAGTTGGGGATTTGGATGATGCTCCATAAAATTTTACACAGATACACTTAGACTGCCTTTACAAAATGGAGCAATAAAAGCTTAATGACAGAAGCTAAAATCACCTTTCTTTTACGAACCTCAGATGAAGGAAGTTGTTTTATCTTTACACTTGTATTTCAGTATTTACCTTACTACAGTAATATTCCATGAGTGCTGCAGTAACATAGACATGGTGGCGGGTTCTGGTATCTTCTCTTGCTTTTTTAAATATCATTCTTCCAGATTTGATGCCTTCTGCTCTCCGTGCAAATTTCATATATTGGATATATACCTATGCAAAAGAAAGTATTTGTGTTCTATAAATTAGACAGTATGTTTCCTGCATAAGAAAGCAATCCTCAATACCCAATAAATTAGAAAGTAGGAATTTAGATAATATTCTATTTAAATCCACAAACTAATTTTTTTCTGGTATTAGAGATGCATGCAAATTAATTTATTTTTTTATTGAGACATAATTCACATAGCACAAAATTCACCCTTTACAATTCAGTGGTTTTAAATATATTCACAAGGTTGTGCAATCATCACCATTATCTAATTCTAGAATATGTAAATTAAAGTTTAAGAGTGAAAAGTGTGACACTACTAGAACATACTCCATTAATGAATGTCAATATCTAAAAAACTCAAGGGTTGGTTTAATACAAGCACGTCTTACAATACATGTTTTTTTTTTTGAGACGGAGTCTCGCTCTGTTGCCCAGGCTGGAGTGCAGTGGTGCGATCTTGGCTCACTGCAACCTCTGTCTCCTGGGGTCAAGCCATTCTCCTGCCTCAGGCTCCCAAGTAGCTGGGACTACAGGCACACGCCACCACACCCGGCTAATTTTTGTTTTTTAGTAGAGATGGGGTTTCACCATTTTAGCCAGGCTGGTCTCAATCTCCTGACCTCGTGATCTGCCTGCCTCGACCTCCCAAAGTGCTGGGATTACAGGTGTGAGCTACCGCGCCCAGCCTGCAATACATGTTTAACTTCACATTTTCTTGGTTTCTTTTTAAAAGCCCACTACTCTATTTTCCGAACAACATATAATAGAACTTCATGGATAAACTATGAGCCATTTTATACCTAGCACCTACAGAGTGTCCAGTACATCATGAGTATGCAGTTTTGTTTAGTGAACAAATGACTAATTAGTAGGGTCCTGGTTTGCCCAGTATTGATAATGTCTAGCTATATTACCCAGTTTTGATGGATGGATGGATGGACTATGAGTTCCTCAAGAAAAGGAATTTCATCTAGTTTGTCATTAATGTTGCTGGAGTCTAGCACAATGCATAGACTCTAGCAATATATTTGCCAGATATGTTTGTGGAATGAATTATAAGATGATGAATAAATGTAGGAATTATAGCAGTGGAATCCCAATATAAATCATTAACAAGAAAAAGTAGTGTAGCTATAATTGACTTGAGGCAGAGGTTCTAGAGACACACCCACAAGCCTGTCCCCTTCCTCTCCCAATGGGAGAGCATCACTGCACTTTTGCACTTGGGGCTTTGAAAACCACTATGATAGAGCAGGATTTAGCATAAAGTGAGTTTCAGTCTAATTTCTTCCCAGGATGTCGGTTTCTCCCGCCTCATTTAAAAAGAAATATCTATTAAGCAACAATTCTGTGGCATAAAGTGACTTCAAACCATGATCACAAAGAAAGTGTTAGAGAAAGTGCCTCTGTATCTATTTTATACTGCTGCATTAAAAAGAAAAAATTCTAGCAGAAAACAGATCAGTAATTGTCAGAGGTAAGGGCAGAGGGAAGGGTTATATCTACAAAGGGGTCACATGGGGGAATTTTTGGAGGATGGTGGAGGTGTTTTCTATCTTAATTGTGGTGGGGATCCCATACTCAATGTTATTTGTCAAGATTAATAGAACTATACAACAAAAACAGTGAATTTTATTGTATATAAATTTAAATTATTTTTTGTTAGATAAGACTGTAAAGGTGGAAAAAAAGATTTGTAAAGTTACTCACCAAGGTAGGGTCAATATCCTCAATTGCCAGAAGTCTGTTATATATACTGTGAACCTTTTCATACTTCATGCGACTCTAAGGTGGTACAGAAGAAGTGAGTATCAACATATGGTCATAAATAAGCAGGATTTGAGCTCCAAGGAATCCAAAGGCTATAACCTCCCACCCCCAATGGCATCTCCATTGAGCATAAATATAGTATAAGCTGACAACTAATAACTGTTCATTTGGCATCATCTCTGTCTACCAAAAGCAATATGCCTGGCAAACAAGCAGCCAGAAAAAAAGTTCAGTCCTGCACTAAAAAATTGAATTATAAGAAGGCTCTAAACATTTTTACTTACCTCTTCATAATCTGCATATGCAAAATAAAGAAGCATATTCTTCTTCAATAAAGTGCTTATGGCTCTTTCATATATATTAGCAGCTTCATCACTAAATAATTTGGCATTATTCATATCCTGGTAGAAAAAAAAGAAAGCTCATCTTCAATAATTTTAATATAGTTGTGAGAGAATAAAATTAATAAAGTTACATCTACTTTATTTTATTTATGTGTCTAAGAAAGCATACATGTATGTACACACATATATATGTATCCACACACACACATACATAAACACATATGCATTTCTGGATTCTAAAAAAATTCCAAAAACTCCTTTCATTATTTTAACTTACAAAATAACCATGCAAGTACTCTAAATGATTCATTACTTTGATACGTTAAAAAACTGCCAGTTTATTTTAATTCTAAGGAGGTCTAATTATATGAGTGTCACTAAGATTCATATGAACGTAAACTTAAATTTTCAATACTTATGCTTTATTACCAAAATTCAGTTATATTTTTCAGTAAATAATTGCTATATCAAAACCACAAAAATATCAAAGTGGGGATAGGGAAGGAACACTTACTCCCTTTTCTGCGAGCAGTTTACTTGACTGCTCAAGATACTGGGCAGCTTCATACCAAATATCAGGGTGATGGCCCAGCACAAGCAGGCACTGTTCATAAGCAAACATAACTAAGGGAAGAAATTAACAAACAATATTCAATTAAAATAATTATTATTTGTAAAACTATCAATGTAAATATCATAACCAAATTAGGCTCCTCAAAAATTAATGATAATTAGAAATAAAAAGCTTTAGTGATTTCTGGCACCATCATCCATCCAAGTTCCCTCCATCTATCCATCACTTATTAATTTTTTTTATTTTTGGAAGCAGGGTCTCTGTCACGTAGGCTGGAGTGCAGTGGCACAAATATGGTTCACTGCAGCCTCGACCTCCTGGGCTCAAGTGGTTTTCCTGCCTCAGCCTCCCAAGTAGCTGAGACCAGGCGTGTGCCACCACATCTGGCTTATTTTTAAAAATCTTGTGGCCAGGTGCGGTGGCTCACATCTGTAATCCCAGCACTCTGGGAGGCCAAGGCAGGCGGATCATAAGGTCAGGAGATCGAGACCATCCTGGCTAACATGGTGAAACCCTGTCTCTACTGAAATACAAAAAATTAGCCAGGCATGGTGGTGGGTGCCTGTAGCCCCAGCTACTCTGGAGGCTGAGGCAGGAGAATGGCATGAACCCGGGAGGCACAGCTTGCAGTGAGTGGAGATCACGCCACTGCACTCCAGCCTGGGCAACAGAGCAAGACTCCATCTCAAAAAAAAAAAAAAAAATCTTGTTTAGAGACGGGGTTTCACCATGTTGCCAAGGCTTGTCTTGAACCCCTGGGCTCAAGCAATCCTCCTGCCTCAGCCTCCCAAAGTGCTGGGATTACAGATGTGAGCCACTGCACCCAGCCTAAGTTAATACTTATTGAGCACCAACTATATGCCAGGGAATGTGGAAGGCACGGTGAATATACCAGTGAGTAAGACTTCCTATATTCAAGAAGTCTGCAGTATACGGGGAGGACAGACAGAAAGCAAAGATCAAAAGGATTATGATGATGAAAGTACAGTATACTCTGAAAACTTACAGCAGCAGGACTTAACATAGTTTAGGGACTCAAGAAAGGCTTCACTAAGGAACTGACATCTAGCACAACACCTGAAGAAGGGATGAAGCTGGTCAGAGGCAAATAAGTGAAGTGGAGTAAGGATGGGGTAGATACAAAAATGGAGTGGGCAAAGGAAACAATATTTGCAAAGACCTGCAAGTAAGATAGCAAGGCAACAGCAAGGCAAGATTGAGGAATTCAATAAAGCTCCAAATTAAGAGTCTGGCACTGACAGAGTAGTTTGTATCAGACCAACCCTCAGCAAGTAAAAATTATAAATAAACAAAACACAAATACAAAAGCAACTATCTAAATGTACTGGAAATGACCAAAAGAAGCAGAAATCAGGAGACTGAGCCCTTAAAAAGACAGAACAACACTAGGTGAGATCCATATTTAAATATGGCTTTTCCCTTCAAACGCATGCCCATGTTGTGCACTTCTGGGATAGCTAGAACTCAAGTCAAATGCTGCAGTCTTACTGTCTTGAAGTAACATGGAGTTCTGGCCTATGAGAGCAGCTGGAAATTGAGGAGACATCCCCAAAAGGAGAAAGCCAGATCCCGAAAATCTGGGCATAAATGTTCTCAAATCCTCAGCTGATCCCTAAAATGTACATACACAGGGAAGAATACAAACAGACCAGCAGAAAACAAAGCTGGAAGGCAGAAAGAGTTAAATAGATACCTCAGCAACTAAGGGAGATGAAGTTTAGAATTTGAGTCCGATCCAATTAGATGGTTGGGGTAAACACCTTAGACTTTTCATTGTCTTAGGAGTAAAGACTATGTCCCAAGAATAAGGTATTTAATCTGAGATTAATGGTAAAACTAAAACAGACCTGTCTTCATAGTATAAAACTAAGCCTCCACAAAGTCCAAGTAATCTGACAGTAGTATTTAACTTCCTGCTAAAATAAAACATTCTTCAGAGGAAGATGACAGAATCTACAGTCTTTACAATGTTTCATTTGTACATTTGTACAATATCTAAAAGAAAAAATTTAAACAGGAAATAGGGAAATGTAAACCACAGTCAAGAGAAAAAGCAATCAAAGAAAATAAACTCCATGGTGGTTGAAGGCCCAGATGTTGGAATTGGCAGATGAGGACTTTATAACTACTATTATAAATATGTTCTAAGAAACAAAGAAAAAGATGGTAATGAACACACAAGGAATCTCAACTAAGAAATGGACACCATAAAAAAGAAATATAAAAAATAAAAAATTTCTAAAATGGAAATTTATAGAATTGAAAAATATAGTATCTGAAATAAAGCGTTCACTGGATGGGCTTAATTGCAGACTGCATATGATGAAAACAAAGGTTCAGTGAATATGGAGATAGATCTATAGGAATTATTGAATCTGAAGAACAAAAGAAAAAAAGATTAGGGGTAAGAAAATTTTAGTAACCTATGGGGATACCAAGTGGCCTAACATACATGTAACTGAAGTCCCATGAGGGTTAATCATGTTACCTCTTTTTGTTATAAGGGTCTGATCCTCTGTACGAAGAGGGTTGCTCTTTTCCCACTGTATATATTTCTTCCACATATCTACTTGTTGAGCTTCTTGAGGAGTATTCTGAGGAGGCACCGAGGGAGCATTACGGTCCAAGCCTTTCATTACTGTCTCATATTCCTAGACAACAAGGATTTAGAATTCTTTGGTGAGCCAGGAACAACTGAGATATATGGCGGATGGGGTAGATCAGTTTGGAAGACTGTTCAAGATGCCTACTTTTTCCAAATACCACTTTGTTAATATAATCTAAAAACTATTTAAGAGTAGAGAGAAAGATAAGAGTATTACCCACTCAAGAACAGGTTCCCAGGAGTGGGTAAACAAAACACCCATGGGCCCTCTCTGTAAGTGATCTAGGAGGTTACTTTCCAGGATGTAAGAGTTGACAGATCAATAGGATTGAAGATCTGGTGGCATTATTATTGCCATCTTTGGAGAAACTGTCTTTTAAAATTTCAATAGTTTGTATTAATAGGCTATTTTTCCTAACTTCCAAGAGTGTCAATGAATGGAAAGGTATGCACACAATCAAAATGTGTCCCTGAGAGCTATGTTATTAGACCACAGAGTAATACAATATTCAGATGAACCCAAATAATAGAGGGAAAAGAATTACTTCATCAATTCTAAGTAGAGCCTTGTCTCTCTCTATGTCTTCTGTTTCCATATTTTAAAAAACAATTTCTTCTAAACCCAATTTATTATATTTTGTTCTTACAAAGAGAGATTTCATTTCAAATATGTCATCTCCTCAGACTTTGCAATTAATTGCTGTTAAGATTGCTAATGACTGAAAATATCAAGAGTAATACCAGACAGGGAAAGCTCTGCTGTAAACAACAGACTCATAATAATCATTAAAATAGCCTGATGGAATTCCATACCTTTGCTACACGTCTAGCATTCATATAATCTCTACTCCGATCTTCAATCATTTTTTTAGCTAAATGAATATTGATACCCTAGAAAAAAACAAAAATATTTTAAAATTAAGTATAGTTTCTTAAAAATTAGTACAATACAGTTAATTTATTCATTTACTAAATAACTTTAAATTTTTATTTTAAAAGATTTCTTGTTTAATAAAGGTTCATACAGCTCATGAAAAGCAGGGAAAAAAGGTTCAATCACATTATACATTTCCAAGATCAAGGAGGATGTGCTTATGTCTTATGAGCTGGCAGTAAGTTTCCATTTATCAGGAACTTTTAAAGATAGAATCATTTGAAAAGGCTCAATAATTTCATATAAGATTCTACTGAAAAAAAAATGACATGGCTCATGCCTGTAATCTTAGCACTTTGGGAGGCCGAGTTGGGTGGATCACTTGAGGTCAGGAGTTCATGACCAGCCTGGCCAACATGGTGAAACCCCGTTTCTACTAAAAATACAAAAAAATTAGCTGGGTGTGGTGGTGTGCGCCTGTAATCCCAGCTACTTGGGAGCTTGAGGCAGGAGAATTGCTTGAAATGGCGAGGCAGAGGTTGCAGTGAGCTGAGATCATGCTATTGCACTCCAGCCTGGGCGACAGAGCGAGACTCTGTCTCAAAGAAAAAAAAAATATGTACAGATTCATCTGGGTGAATAGCCATGGCTTGACTTTGATAGCCCTTTTCTTTTTCTTTTTTATAAACAGAGTCTTCCTCTGTCACCCAGGCTACAGTGCAGTGGTGCCATCCTAACTCACTGGAACCTTGAACTCCTGGGCTCAAGTAATCCTCTTGCCTCAGACATAGGACTACAGGTGTGCCCTGCCAGATCTGGCTAATTAAAAAAATTTTTTTTGTTGAGACATAGTCTTGCTATGTTGCCTGGGCTGGCCTCAAACTCCTGGCCTCAGGCAATCCTCCCACTTCAGCCTCCCAAAGTGCTGGGATTACAGGCATTAGCCATCACACCTGGCTAATAGCCCTTTTCTAACTAGTTCTGTTGTATAACACTTTTTAAAAAGACAAACAGAAGTAGCAAGGAAAGATAAACATTACCACTCAGTGAGTACTCCAAGGATTCTAAGACCCTTTCAGGGAGTCCATGAGATCAAAATAGTTGTCATTATAACACTAAGACATTATTTGCCTCTCTCATAAAATACAGGAGTTTTACAGAGGCTACGTGACATTTAGTATTATAACACACTAAATGGAAGCAGATATGAAAATCCAGCTGTTTTCTATTACACTAGATATGAAAGAGATTTGTGAAAATATAAAACAATGCCACTCTTCTCACTACACACTACATTTTTTGTTTTGGAAAATACAGTTTTTGGCCAGGCATGGTGGCTCGTGCCTGTAATCCCAACATTTTGGGAGGCCGAGGCGGGCTAATTGCTTGAGCTCAGGAGTTCAAGGCCAGCCTGAGCAACATGGAGAAACCCCATCTCTACAAAAAATTAGCTTGAGAGTGGTGGGGCATGCCTGTAGTCTTAGCTACCTGGGAGGCTGAGGTGGGAGAATCACCTGAGCCCAGGAAGTTGAGACTGCAATGAGCTGTGATTGTGCCACTGCATTCCAGCCTCGGTGACAGAGTAAGACCCTGTCTCAAAAAAATAAAAACAAAAAATTCTTTGTGATCTTCAATAACTGTTAAAATCCAAAAACCATAAAGTTTGAAAACCACAGCTGATGCCTGTGAGGGAACAATTTCACTACCCTATATAGTTCTTCCAAATCACAATATACATACGAAAAACTTTCTTTTTTTCTCTTTAGAGACGGGCTCTCACCATCTTGCCCAGGCTGGTCTCAAACTACTGGGCTCAGGCAATCCTTCCATCTCGGCCTCCCAAAGTGCTGGGATTACAAGTGTAAGCCACCATGCCCAGCCAAGGAACTTCCTTTTAATGCTAGAGCTTATTTGGCATGTGTATTTATGTATTCAGATTGATTAGCTCAGTTATTAAAAGTAGATACCAATAACACAAAGATCTTGGATTGTAGCCACACACTTCACAAATTCAAACCAATCATCACATCACTGTAATCAGGTGAAAAAGGTGCACAGCAACCAAAAAATAATTCCCAAAAGGTACTATTGGAAACATAATTCCCAAAAGGTACTGTTTTATAGGTCAATGACAATGTGTATGTGTGTGTATGAATGTGTGGATATGGCTTAGCAAAGAATAAAAATAGTTTTATAAGAACTATTGTTCTTCAGAGTATCCTCTAAAAAATAACACTATATGGAGACTCTCAAACCTTGCAAAAACATTATAGTGCTTTCATTACAATCAATAAAAAAAGTGTAACACTGATACAGAAAGGCTATAATCTACAAATCCACAATGCATAGAAATTAAAATGGCTTGGTTTATAATAAACAACTACTCTGACCTAATTTACCTCTTCATACTTGTTATAGTCTCTCCAGAGCTGTTCAATGTTGATCATCGGATTAACACAACCTCGTTGATAAACTCTTCGGACAGCTGTTATTCTTTGATTTTCTGCATAAGATCCTACAGCTTCCCTGAGATTGGATAAGAAATGCCATCAATTATATTATAACCAAATCTCATTCAACCCAGCAATCTCACTACTGGATATCTACCCAAAGAACAACTCTATGGAAAATAGTATGGAGATTTCTCAAAGAACTAAAAATTATATTTTAGCTAAATCAACTGTAGATGTAAAAAAAAACTATACAAATACTTACACGCCTTTTAGGAAATTGATGTAATCCACCCAAATCTAAGAAATAAAATGAAATGTTAATATCTTTCTTGGTATTCTTACATTTAAGTGCATACATTAAAAAGTTTTAACTCTACCTGATAGGACATAATTTCCATTCCAATTTTATCCAGTGCAAAGTCATATGCTTGAGCCATTTTTTCTCTGAAATGAACATGAAAGACGTG
Organism: Homo sapiens; assembly: GCF_000001405.40. Taxonomy (NCBI): domain Eukaryota; kingdom Metazoa; phylum Chordata; class Mammalia; order Primates; family Hominidae; genus Homo; species Homo sapiens. The sequence goes on from NC_000011.10 coordinate 33,106,088, forward strand.
GTTTTTAAATTTTTTTGTTATTAAAATTTATCTACAATTAGGCCAGACATGGTGGCTCATGCCTGTAATCCCACTGCTTTGGGAGGCCGAGGCAGAAGGATCACTTGAGACCAGGAATTCAAGACCTGCCTGTGCAACATAGCAAAACCCAGTCTCTAAAAAAATAAAAATTAAAAAAATTAGCTGGGCATGGTGGCGTGCACCTGTAATCCTAGCTACTCGGAAGGCTGAGGTGGGAGGAGTGCTTAAGCCCAGGATTTCAAGGTTACAGTGAGTTATGAATGCACCATTACACTTCAGCCTGGGTGACAGAGCAAGACCCTGTCTCTAAAAAAAATTAAAAATAAATTATTATTTGAAGATAGACGTGGTGGTTCATTCCTGGAATCCCAATGCTTTGGGAGGCTGAGGCAGGAGGATCATCTGAGGCCAGGAGTCGGAGACAAGCCTGGGCAGCACAGTGAGACCTCGTCTCTATAAATAAATAAATAATAAATGTATATATAACTAAAATGTAGCTTCTGATCACAGGATCAGAACAACACTTGAACATTCTCTATAAACATAAATTAAAGACATCTTTTAAGTATATAAAGTCGTTCTTTGATGTTAAGCTTGTCAAGATCATAAATTGTTTCCTTTATCTACTGCTTGTGAGCTTATCAAAAATAAGGCTCATGTCTTACTTATCTTTATATCATTTAAGTTGCATAATTCTATACATAGCAGATTCAAATGTGGAAATTTGTGGTTCTCTCATTAATGAGACATTAAGATCTTTAGCTCTAAAGTAAAATGTAGAAATCTGGAAAGTATAGTTTTATTAAAATGCAACTTATGTTAAAATGTAAAGGGTACATTAGGGAAAAAGAACTTCCACTTCAATATAAGACAATAAACAGACCAGGTGTGGTGGTTTATGCCTGTAATTCCAGCATTTTGGGAGGCTGAGGCAGGAGAATTGCTTGAGCTCAGTAGTTTGAGACCAGCCTAGGGACATTAACTTATGCTTGAGACCCTGCTACGTTTGGAGTCTCAAACATAAGGAGACCCCATCTCTACAAAAAAATAGAAAAAAAATCAGCCAGGTGTGGTGGCTCTTGCCTGTAGTCCCATCTACTTGGAAGGCTGAGGTGGGAGGATCACTTGAGCCCAAGAGGTTGAGGCTACAGTGAACCCGTGATTGTGCCACTGCACTCCAGCCTGTACGACAGAGCTGAAACTCTGTCTCAAAACACAAAAATCATAACAAAAAGTATAATCAGGAAAAGACAATAAAGACAGAATTTTAGTAACAGACATAACTTGCCTGTTAGTTACATAGAAAAATGGCACCTCAGAAGAAGGTCCATTATTTAGATTTGGCAAAGATGGGGAGGTGGGTATAATTCGGAGTGGGGATGGCAACTTCACAATACAATTGTCAGAGATCCCTTATATCACTACAAATGTCAGAGACCCCTTAGATCACTTAAGTAGCACATTGCATTGTGACCTCACAAAAGTGGTACTAGCACAAGTATGAAGATGGTTTTTGAAAAAATTTGACAAGTCTGTCAACAAAGTGGTTTGGTGTTGCAATTATACAGTGTTTCAGTATAGAAAGGGCTTGGGCGATTCAATTCTCCAGAGTAAGACTCATGCCAGTGACTTTCTCTGAAGCACTTTTTTCAAGGTTACTAATTCTTAGGAAATCCTGACTTTTCAAATCCTGATAATTCTTCCCACTTGGGGCTAACAGAAGGTGTGAGTTTATGTGGGATTAACTGTGTGCCTGGAGATGACTTGCATTCTTAAGATCCTGGTTTCACTTACTTGTAACTTGGTAGTTTACCCTTGGTTTCTCGGACATATGAAAGATAACACTTCCATAAATCAATGTGCAAAACCTTCATAAGGCATCTCTGAAATAGCTTTAAATACAAGAATATATTATCAGAATCCAGTTAAATAAATTTCACATGGACATAGATGAAATGGAACATTAAAAACACAAATTCAGCTCCCTTTATGAATTTATCTCTTATAAATAAAAAGCAAATAATTTCCCCATTTTCAGTTTAGATAATTAAAATGCTTCTCATGATTTGTCAGGGGAGTATAATTATTTTCTTTTCCTTTTCCAAAACTTTTATGATGAACATTTTCAAGCATATAAAAAAGCTGAATAAGTACAATTAACTTGTAAAAAATCACTATCTAGATTCAATTATTATTAACATTTTACTACATCTGTCTTATACATACTAGGTTTTAAGTTAAACTTCAATATAAAATTCAAAGTATTTGAGGACTCACCTTTTCAACCTTGTCATAATTTTTAGCTTTAATCTGAAGAGAAACAGAAAAATATAGAATTAATACTATTTTTTTAGAGCATCAGTCTGAATTTTTGACCAATTTTTAACCAACTTTGCAAATTCATCCCTATAGTTTCTTATTAATTTTTCTGTTACTTTCAAAAATAACAGAAGTGTGAAGCAAACATGGATAAAATGCATTGTAAATATACCTGTGTAAATTGAATCTATATGGATTTTCATACATTTACATATAAATTTTGTGAATTTAATAAAATTCTGTAAAAGTCATGAGATGAATACAGAAATATACACATACCCGATAGGTCTACCTGAATAGGATGTATCCACTGAAGAAAAACTTAAGGCTTTCCTTTCCCTGTATAGCTACCAGAACAATCTGAGCGGCAAAAAAGATATGCAAATTTGGACTACATATAAACATTCAGTCACACCATCAACCTAATATATTGCAGATATTGTGCTAGGCGTGGGGGCTACCACTGTGACAAGACAGGTCTGCCCCTGCCCTCATAGAGCTTACAATCTTATGGGGAAAATAAGACAACGAAGTGGAAGGTCATTGTAAGATATTATGGTTAAGTGCTAAAATGAAGAAAGTACTGGGTGCTACAGCATTTTGGAAGAGCAAAAGACTTAGACTTGGGGAATTGCAAAAGATTTCCGGGAAAAAGATAACTTTTTCTAGGAGAATCTGAGCTATTTGCTGAAGAAAGGGAAGAGTTATTCCAGGCAGGAGAAATAGCATGTGCAAAGACCAAGATTAAATACTATTAGATTTCTCTTTTCTTTGAGTATTTTCATCACAGAGTGGGTGGGGTTAGGTGCTCAACTGTGTTAATCAGCAAATCTGTTTCACCCAGATAGGTAAATAAATATTTTGGCTGATTAGAGAAGTTTTGGTCCTTTTATCTCAAGTAGTACAGTAATAGAGTAGTATTCCCAGTTTTATGGCTTAAACTACTGCAGGTGAGAATGCTGATGACAGTCTTTTTTGCTTTTGCTGATAACTTGTTCTCTTCTGGACTTTTTTATCTTGATCTTTAGAGTTCATAAATTTTAGCACACACTTAAACACAGCTCTTTGTACTTTGAAGCAGTTCAATCAAGGCTCTGGAGTCAGACCTCTTAGGTTCACAATCTGGCTATCTACTTAACCTCTTTTTCCCTCAGCTGATTAAGGGGGATAATAATACCTACTTTGTCAGGGCTATTCTGAGGACTCAATGAGTTAATAAATGTGAAGCCTTTAGAATATTGCCTAGCAGGTTGAGCACTGAGTAATTATCATTTACTTTTATTACCACAAAATCTGCTTGGAACTCAGCATGCCCTTTGAACCCATATACTCAGGGCTTTTTTTAGGTCAAGAATAAGTGTCTCTCTTCTATTTGTTCCTTTTTTCTCCTTCTAGAACTATATAAGTTAGATCTCCTGGTTCTGTCCTTGAAATCTGTTATCTTTACCCTTCCTTTGAATTTTTGCTCAAGGTGTTAAAATAGTTTGTCCAGTAGATTCCCCAGGCAATTCATTTAGGGCTCCATGTGAATATTCTCTTCCACTTAGCCTATTACTGTATTTGGTTCATACATAACGGTTTTAGACTCCAGAGTTTTTAATACAGCACTTTGAATCCTGTGTTCATATTACTTTGTTCCAGTTGTATTTCTCCTCTAGCAGCTCTATTTTGTTAAGGACCTGATAGTTTTAGTTTATATTCCTTTCTGGTTGGTGGATCCTTCAGATGTGCTATTATTTTTTCCTGCCTATTCACTGAAGCTGTGTTGGCAGTCCTAAAGTAGTAGAAATTGACCCTTCTCTACCATGACAGCTGTGTAGCAGGTGTAGGCAGCAAACAAGCTGCTGCTAGCCCTCTGCCAAGAAACCAGAAAGAAATCTCTACTCAAGAGTAGGGAGGACTCAGCCAAGAGGCCAGGCTGATGTCAACATTCGTCTGGGGTAAAGACATTTGAGGGGTTCCAAATTTTCTATGGGTCAGCTTCTTAGTCCTTTCCCTAGGCCCTCTACTGGGCCTCTTCTTTGAGATTCCCATAGAACCTGAAGCTTCCTTGCATTCGGCTGCTTGGCTTAGTAGAGGTAAACAGAGTGGGAATAAAGTAGGATGAATTTAAATCACCAGCTTCCTAGGTGCAGTTGAGATTATATACAGTTCACACAACTGGTCAGGAAAACCAAAGCTACCCATTGAGAAAATAGGCATAGAATATTAATAGTTAATTCCCAGAAAAGAAAATTTAAATGGTTAAAAGCTATATGACAATGTGTAAACTTCCAATGTGGGAAAGACAAATTAAAATAATAGATATTACTTAAAAACCATTAGAATGGCAAAAACTTACAAAGGTATTAACACTACTGAAGCCATGTAATGAAAAGGCACTTCATACACAGCTGGAGGAAATATGAATTGTTACAGCATTTTTGAAAAGCCATTAGTAACAGCTATTCTAATAAAAAAAAAATGTATCTTTTGACGCAGGAATTCCACTCCTAGGATCTATCCTATAAAAATAAAAGCAGGCCGGGCATGGTGGCTCACGCCTGTAATCCCAGCACTTTGGGAGGCCAAGGTGGGCAAGTCACAAGGTCAGGAGTTCGAGACCAGCCTGGCCAACAGAGTGAAACCCCGTGTCTACTAAAAATACAAAAAATTAGCTGGACATAGTGGCCGGCGCCTGTAATCCCAGCTACTCGGGAGGCTGAGGCAGGAGAATCACTTGAACCCGGGAGGCAGAGGTTGCAGTGAGCTGATATCACACCACTGCACTCCAGCCCAGGCAAGAGACTCCATCTAAAAAAATAAAATAAAAATAAAAGCAACAGAATAGAGAGGTAATTGTACAAGATTACTTACTGTAAACTTTGTAGTAGCAAAAACAGTTTAAAAATCAAATGTCCACCAGTGGGGAAATAGTTTAATAAATTATGATGCATTCGCATCATGGAATATTATGTATTCAGCTTTAACAGGTAATTGGGAGGAATTGCCACAAGATCTTATTGAATGAAAAGATAGTAAAATTTATATAATCTATCTTTATAAAATAAATAAAAATAAATCCTATATATGTTTATGTATTATTAGCATAGAGAAAAATAAGGAATACCCACAAGGTTGTTAAACATAATTATGGTTGGCAGGGTGATACGGGTGGATGCAAAAATAGAGACAAGAAAAAAGACTTTACTATCATCTATGCATTTCAGTAAAAATTATGTCTATTATGTATATCTACGAAATAACCAAATTTTGCATACCCGTCCCCAACAAAGTGGTCCCATATCTTGGATTCATCAATTATTTCTTTAATTGGTAAATTGGTATTAGCCCAATAAATGTATGTAGAAAGACACTTTTGACTAATACAGAAAAATTCTCTGATCTCTAGTACGTGGCCACTGATTGTCATTCATTAATGCAACCAGTAAATATTATTTGAGAGACCTTCTACAGAGCTGGTACTGGTGGCCTTACCACAATAGCTATAATCTCATTATTTTTTAAAACATCATTCATTAAAAAAATACTTTTAAAAATCATTGGCCAGGCACAGTGGCTCATGCCTGTAATCCCAGCACTTTGGGAGGCCAAGGCGGGCAGATCACCTGAAGTCAGGAATTCGAGACCAGCCTGGCCAACGTGATGAAACCCCGTCTCTACTAAAAATACAAAAATTAGCTGGGCATGGTGGCGCACACTTGTAATTCCAGCTACTCAGGAGGCTGAGGCAGGAGAATCACTTGAACCCAGGAAGTGGATGTTGCAGTGAGCTGAGATTGTGCCATTTCACTGCAGCCTGGGTGACAAGAGCGAAACTCTGTGTGGAAAAAAAAAAAAAATCATCAATGTGCTTTGGAGATTAAATCTGCAGTGTGACAAAATGAAAAGAATTTGATCACATTGCATTAATTACTTCCTCTCTTACAGTATCAGCTTTTCCACCTATAAAATGGGAATGATAATAACATCCATTTCAAAGGGTTATCAAGAATTAAAAAGAATATAAAGCATCTAGATGTTCCAGGTGCCCATAAATCATACTAGTCAACAAAGCTATAAACTAAAGGAGTATAACTTTTCATTATATCTTCTCTAAACAGAACTATGTAAACCAAGTAGCCAGAAAGAGCAATGGTGTTACTATAATTGGCCCATTTGATGCAGAGGAAAAATGCAGGCCATATTCAAATGGCATTATTGGTGAGACTAGCACACCAATACCCTGTCTTTAGCCATCCCACCATTTTCCTTCTTTAAAAGATTATTATCCTATGTATTACTTACTAATATTTACATGAAAACATCTTAGCTATAAGTATTCCATTCTACCTGATAATCAAAGCCTGGTTTAAATTCTAAAAATAAAAAAAAATTCTTGATACCTAAGATTACTTTGTTTTGACATTTGGGATTCTCAGAACTTCCTGCCATTAATCAATAGAAAATGTCTCCATTTAAAGACCATTATAGGTCTCCATTTAAAGACCATTATAAACCACATTACATGTGGCTCACACCTGTAATCCCAGTGCTTTGGGAGGCCTCGGTGGGTGGATTGCTTGAGGCCACGAATTCAAGACCAGCCTGGCCAACATAGTGAAACCCCGTCTCTACTAAAAATATAAAATTAGCTGGGCATGGTGGCGCATGCCTGTAGTCCCAGCTACTCGGGAGGCTGAGGCAGGAGAATCATTTGAACCCAGGAGGTGGAGGTGGCAGTGAGCAGAAATCGCACCACACACTCCAGCTTGGGCAGCAGAGTGAGACTTTGTCTCAAAATAAATAAATAAATAAATAAATAAATAAATAAATAAATGAATAAGACCATTATATGCATACAAATAATTTTGCAAAACTTACTAAGACTTGCTTATATTTAATCTATTAAAAGTAGTGCATCATTTTCAATGACAGAGGCTCTTAATAGAATTAACTTTAAGCCAGGTGTGGTGGCATATGCCTGTAATCCCGGCTGCTTGGGAGGCTGAGGTGGGAGGATTGCTTGAGCCCAGAAGTTTAAGGCTGCAGTGTGCTATGATCACACCATTACATTTTCAGCCTGGGTGACACAGCAAGACCCTGTCTAAACAAACAAACAAACAAAAAACAAATAAATACTTATCTGGTACACATACTATCATAAAAATTTGTCATACAATTACATTACCTTTTTAATGAATTATCCAAATTTTACAAAGATATGAAAAGTGTCTATTGAGAAAAAATAATAAATTTTTTAAATCTTCAACTTCCTTTTTTTTAATAGAAGAGTATGATAATTAGAATAGCAATATCAAGATCAATTAACCTTTAAGTTTAATTACATTCAAATCAGTGGTTAACGGCCAGGTGCAGTGGCTCATGCCTATAATCCCAGCACTTTGGAAGGCTGAGGTGAATGGATCTCTTGAGCCCAGGAGTTTGAGACCAGCCTGGGCAACATAGCAAGGCCCCATCTCTGTTTAAAAAAAAAAATCAGTGGTTATCTTAGGGAGAGTAAAACAAGTATAACATGATGAGGAAACACAGATCTTTTCCCAATACTTTTGAATACTTCATATTTCCAGGCCTTTGTTAACTTCCACAATTATTTCCCAAGCATTAATTGGTCATCACGTATCTTTTGGAACTAAAACTATCCTCAGATAAATTATTGGAACTAATGATCACCTATTACTTAATAGGTTAAAACAAAATTAATTACTTAATTTTTAAAGTGTTAACTTTGCCAGAAAAGGTCTAATGACCCTTTGACTAACATCTATTTTTAACAGTTTAGACTAGCCATGTCCTTTCCCTGGAATATATTTATATTGAGATCTAAAGAAAGCATGATATTCACTTGTTCAAAAATAAATGAGTTTTTCCTAATGTTAGGAACATATTTCATGCTTCATTGGATGTTTTAGGAAATGCTGATGTAAGTGCCGACAAAATTCACATTTTTCTGACCAGAGAAATAAAACTCTATGTCAACAGCATTTTGACAGGTTTCCTCAAATTCAATTTTTTCCCTTATCCCTTGGGGAAAAAAAAATCCCATAAAGTCAAAAGTTTTAAAAAGTACGCTGTTTTTAAAATCACCAGTTATAAGAATCATTATACAATTAACTTGAAATGGTTTAAAAACATATTTGAGGCTGGGTGCAGTGGCTTACACCTGTAATCCCAGCACTTTGGGAGGCCGAGGCGGGTGGATCACCTGAGGTCCGGAGTTCGAGACCAGCCTGGACAACATGGTGAAACCCCATTTCTACTAAAAATACAAAAATTAGCTGGGCATGGTGGCAAGCGCCCGTAATCCCAGCTACTTGGGAGGCTGAGGCAGGAGAACTGCTTGAACCCGGGAGGTGGAGGATGCAGTGAATCGAGACTGCACCATTGCACTCCAGCCTGGACAAGAGCGAAACTCTGTCTCAAAAAAAAAAATTGATAAATAAATTAACCTGACATAACTCTATAGAGGAACACCAAGAAGCTTTATAATCTAAAGGAAAAAGTAAGTCTCTATATACTTTGTGTAGGTTTTCACACAATAACCATTTGGGACAAGTCAACACTTAGGTTTTCAGACAGTACTGGGCACATAGCAGAGGCAGGGCTAGGATCCATCTAAAGTGAGTTCTTATGGTAGTTGTTCACAATGTGAACAAACGAATAAATGAATTGCAGTCGCATTCCTAACTTGTTCCCTGCATCTTTTCTACTCTAAAGTATAGCACATAGACTTTCCTAGGACTTAAGACAATCATCTTAAACTGAATTTGAGATGCAGAGAAGCTGTCTGATTCTACTTGTATTAATTATCCAAAAAGCTTAGCCAAATCCTGAAATCTGAAAGCAAATGGAATCCTAAATATAAATTCATCTCCTGTTCATTTACTTTTTCACTACTCTTTTCAGCTATTCTCTAATCCTCTGCAACCTGAAAAATATCTTGGAAGATTACAGAATACAAGTCGTTTTAAGGAATTTGGAAATATTGAAGAATGACATTTTAAGATCTACAAACAGGCTTTTAAGTTAGCTGCTGGAGTGGTTGCAGAATATTCTTCTTTCCACCACCCACTCCCAATTTTAAGGTAAAGAAATCAGGAAAGTAGTGTCTGCAAATAAATTCATTTTTATTTGACAAATAATTAAGTGCCTACTATGTGTGACAAATAATTAAGGCCCTTTTCTAGCACTGGAGATAAAGTGGTGGATTAAACTAAGTCATAACTCATGGAATTATATTTTGGTTATATTTTGGGAGGCAGCCACTACCTAAAGAATAGTTTTCTTTATCTGTACTTCCTAATTTTCCTATGATAAATTGTATTGTTTCTGCAATTTGTATTTTCATATTAAATATAGATATAAATGCCAGGTGTAGTAGTTCATGCCTATATCTCAGCATTTTGGGAGGCCGAAGGGAGAGGGTCACTCACTTGAGGCCAGGAATTTGAGACCAGTCTGGGCAACATGGTGAGATTCTGTCTATAAAATTAAAAATATAAATATGTACATACAAATGTATACCTATAATATATACTGATTTAGATATAACAGGTTGGCCACAACCTCTACATGTCCTATAAACTTTCAATTATCCAGGCCCTTAAATATATCACAGAACTACTTGTCAAAAATGAGTGTAAATTATAGACCACTGTGAAGTATAGTTTAATTATGATTAAAATTGAAATGTGCTAAACAAAACTATGATTATCTTTGGGTCTAGATTAAATTTAGTTTCATTTTAATTCCTTGTACTAACCATTAGGTATTAATTAGTCTTCCACTTTCCCAAGCCAACTAAAAAGTATTTGTCATGTGTCCTTAGGATTTACCAAGTGGAAGTGGGGATGTGGACCTGAACTATTAAAGAGTTTATGACCCAGTTGAAAACATAAAACTAATGATGGAAACAATAAAGGACTAAATTTAAGTTTAAATTATTTTGTGTATGCTCTATGTCCTATAAGATTCAGAGGAAAAGGTGTTCCATGCAAACTAGAGTTAACAAGGAAAGCTTCACTGAGCAGATGGTATCCAGGCCATTAATGAAAAAAAGGAGTCTGTACAAGTCAATGAAACAACATGAGTTTCTTTAGTTTTTGGTGGAATAATGAGGACATCCAAGCAAGAAAAAAAGAATATGCATAGGAAAAATAAGTTGGCTGATTATGGTGAAGGTCCATTACAGAGGGCATAAAAAGGCAGAGTTAAATCTGACACACAGAAAACCTTACTGAATGCCACTGAGGTTTTCCTGGCAGGTAAACAATGAGGAAAGTTGAAAAAAGATGACTCATAAGTAGGTTAGGGAATACAGGCTGGGGAGAATACAGAGGTGGCTTTTAGTGCTATGGGATGAGACAAGCAGGTACTAGCTACAATAGGAAAGATGCTATTGCTGTCATCCTTAAGTGGGGTAATACTGGCTTTGGCTCAGAGAAGGTAGAACAAGGAGAGAAAACCAGTAATGTAGAGGGAAGAACAACAGACTTTTTTTTTTTTAATGGGAACAAGAATGAAAAGTGTTATGAGAGTTGCTGTAAAGTTTACTTTTTATTAGGTTTATTATGAGGTGACACAACTCAGGTATAAATTGTCTGATTAAAGTTAGCAGATGGGGGTTGGTTTCATCAATAAGACAGTGGAATTAAAGATGCATATTTGTCATTTGTAAAAAAAACTTTTCTTATAAATATGTAGGGTATACAATACCTAAGGCATTAAGTATATTCTCTGAAGTAGAGAATATTCAGACAAGCAAAGACTCATTTCTCCAAACTATCCATTCCCAGGCAACAAAAAGGAAGAGAACCCCAGAGTACTTGACATAAGAAAAACAGGATATAATAATATGTATGAAGTCAAAGATGAACATTATAAGAAAAAGGGATCTGGTGGAATATGCCACAGGTCAAAAATAAGGGTATACGAAGGATCTGGCAATAAGAAACTCATTGCTTATTACACACTTAAAAGTTGAAGCAATTCAGCTTCTTATAATTTAAAATGACTAAATACTGCTAATACTAGCAGCATTTATTAAATATTTAATGTTTGTAAGCACTACTCCAAGATTTTATATGTATTAACTCATTTAATCCATAAACAGCACTCAGGTAAAGTACTATTCCCTACTTAAAGATGAGAAAACTGAGGCACAAGGAGATTTAATAACTTCCCCCAGATCACACAACTGAGCTCTTAACCACTATACTATACTGCTCTCAGCACAATATATATATATATGAGGATGTTCATTGAAAGAGTACACAGAAAATTTGAGAACCTATATTACCAAAAGGTAGAATGATTAAACTGTGCTTTGTCTAAGTAATTGTTTTGTCTAAACAATGGGATGAGATATAGATATATACACACCCACAGGAACTTTAAAAGCAATGATGTATAATACTGAATGGAAATATATCCATAGTACATTTAAGAAGTGAAATCCAAAAAATATATACTGAGTAGGAAGAAATGCACACAATAACTGTTGACCAAAACTATTTTCACTGGAAGGATTGAGACAATTTTTCTGTCTCAGTTACATTTTATTTTCATATCAATTTCACAAAGGAGAGAGTTGGGATTTTTAAAAAATAACTCAACATTTTCTTTTTTATCTCTAATCTCATGACAGATTAGGGATTTTTTTTTTTTTTTAATAAGAGAAAGAAAATTACAGCTGATTTTGAACGGTAAGTTTCTCTTCGGAGTAATTCATTGGTATTTTTCTCTGAACATAAACATCCCCACTTTAAAATCTACTTTTAAATCCTCTCAAATTCTTAGCCAGGCCTATGAGGATTTAAAAAGTTAAATAAATGCTAGATAAATTAGACAATACTAATTTCAGTCAAGAATCTCAAAGGTAAAACCTTGGCTCAGATTTGATTTTGTCCCAATATATAGGGCATCTATCAACAACCATCACTTAACATTTATAGACTCAGCCTACTTTACTTAATAAACATCTAAACTCTGTAAATAACTTGTCAACAGCATGCCAAACATTACCTTTCAAAGAATAATCTGTAATTTTGGGGTAAGAAAAATACAGCAGGGTATTTGCTTTTTGAGAAAAGTGAGTAATTTAGCCAGAAGTATCAAAATCACTAGTTAACATTCATGGCTCAATTGGTTTTGCTACTCTACCTCCCATTAGGTCATCTCCCCTGTCTCTCCTCAAAATTGCTGAGTGGCATAGATCTTTCTAAAGGTTAATTAAAATTGAGACTAAGAAATGTGTACAATCATTTGAGACGCTCCAGCTATCAGGAAAGTCAAGAAATCAAGTTCATAAACCTCTGATCTAAAAAAAAAAAACAAAAAATGACATTAATTCCATACTGCACAGCCAGAATGGTAATCAAGTAGATTGCTGATTTGCTTCCCTCAAACGTCTAATATTAGTTTATTGCACATCAACTTATAGTCTTTTCTACCTTAATTTGCAGCTTTTATGAACTATCATCTTAATAAAAGTCCTTCCAGGCAAACTTAAAATATTAAACAATATAACTTCTCTAGTATTACTACAGGAACTTTATATATTGCTTTATAAAATATTATAATATCTAATCTCACTTTTGTTTGCTGAGTTAATCTTCCATTAGTCACATGACTTTTTTTTAATGTGCAGAGGGGAAGTTGTTCAGAAAACCATTTACTTAAAACTGTTTATAATTCATTCATCTCTTACTGTACTTCTCACTACATACAAATTGAAAACTGCTGTTTAAAAATATTAGCAATTGTATTATCACTGGACAAAAGCCTTTAGTCATTTCCTCTACTTGAGATATTCTAGTTCACTAATCAAGACAATCTTTCCCATTTTGATAGAGATTCCTATCAGAATACTATTTCTCTTACTTAATTTTCAGTGTCATCCAATGAATTCACATTTTTTTCCATGTAACTTTCTTGTTGGCAATTTAATTCTAAGTACACATTTATTTATTCTATGAAATCAAGTATAACATTTATAGTAGATACCCAGTATCATGAGTAATGCTTCATTTAACCTTTCTTAAAAATCACTTTCCAAAAACAGGATTAAACTTCCACAATGAAGTAGATACAAATTCAATGGATTGCTTTTCTGTATTTTTTAAGCAACTTGCCCACTCCTCTAGTTTTTACCTATTAGTAGAGAAGCATAATTTTAGAAATAGCCCATTTCCTCATTCTATAAAACTCACAGTATATTCCTCAGACTACTTTAGTTTTTATCAATACTGCTACTCCAATACTTTTAACTTTACATCAGAAATTATATTCTAATTCTATTCTGCAACTGTTTTTGATACCCTATCACTTTTTCCAAGAACATACAATCAACATTTGTATTATGACCCAATTCTAGCCTTCTCAATCCTATATGGATAGTTTATTTCTATTTTGTTGTTGAAGTGACCTAATTCCAAGTTCCTTTTTAGAAAATGCTTATCAAATAATCATCGTTTTCCCCAAAATTGTATATTTATTCAACCCTGTTTCTCTATTCTTGAACAAAGTACACATTGGTCATATTTACTTAAATTCTGAAAGATTAAAAAATCATTACCCAGCTCAATTCAAAAGATCACACCAGCAACAGCAACCTTTGATAGTAAAATATGAATTCTAAAAGGTCAATCTAAAGAAACAATTATGACTATGTAAAAATATTGAAATAAAATTGTATTCATGCAAGAGATTCTTATAAAACAAAAACTGGAAACACTGTAAATGATAATTAGGACTGGCTAAACAGCATGTATCTAGGATGTACTACTGTGCCACCATTAAAAGCGATTTTATAGACTAAATAACACAAAAATATGCTACCATGTGGAAAAAACAAGCTACAAAAAGTTAAGGTTTTATAGACAGATCTGGAAAAGTTAACTGTGATTAAGTTATAGTTCAAAGGTAGTGGGAATATGGTTTTTTTCTCCATTAGAGTTTTTTTCTTATAATAAACACATATATTACCCTTTTAAATAAGAAAAATGTTTTCCTTTTTGTAACAATCTTGACAAACTCCACTTTCCCTCCCATCTCTCAGGTTTCAATCACTTGATATTACTTCATTATGCTTGCCTTTTAAAATTCAACCACTTAATTCCAAAAATATTATTTGTGCATGTATTTAGGTTAAGTGTATTTTCTCAGTAGTCCATCTAGGTATTATTCTGCTTACTCAGAAAACAAGCGAGTCAACATAATTTAAAAAATTCCACAAAGGCATAACGTTTTTTATTTCACAGCACCTAGAACAAAGCCTAACATATAGCAGACATTCAATAATAATTGCTAAATAAATGTGGATAAAACTACCAGTTACTATTCACATATTCATTCAAAAATAGGTTTTAGATTATACTGTCTTAAATATCAAGGGAAATGAAAAATGTAAATGTATAACTTTTACAGAAAGGTCTTTATGAGTCCTATAATCCTTGTTAAAATATTAATTTAAAACCTCACTTCAATAAAAAGGTTTAGAAAGGGTGCTAAGTATAATACTATCAGTAAATTCAGACTAAAATGGAGGAATAATTGAAGCTCTAATATGGATTTTGAAAGTTAGATTTTTCACAGGATTTCGATCTTTCCGTGAGCACACCCAAATCAATTCCATTTTCCATTACTTTTCTTGAATGAAAACATGATTTCTATTTGAAGCAAAAATGCTGTTTCAAATAGCCATGTAAAAGATGGGAAATTAGGAACTTTGGAGGTTTGAAAAGTAGACATAGCTAACCAATTAAGAAAAACAAAGAAAAAATTCAGGTAAATATTAAGTTCCAGGAGAATCAAGAAGATTTAGACGTGAATTTCTTTTTTCTAATGGGCATGTTCCAAAATTGAAATTTTGGCTCTATTTTAATGGCTTCAGTCTACGTACTTATCTCCAGAATATTTATAAAATTATTTCATAAAATCTACTAGATTTTAAAACTTTTTCCTAACTTTATGAATTCCTGAGTGCATTTCTCCAAACACGGCCACATTTAAAGGCTTAACGAAAACATATCCTATTTTCTCTGGAATCTTATTTTATAGTTTGAAATGTTTGTATTTCATTTTACCTCCTCTAATTATATTTGTGATATTTTCCAAAGTGATGCCACCAAAGGTAAAGAATTAAGTTCAAATGCTATATGGAAAGCTGCCATGAAGGCTTTAGTAGGCAAGAATGAAATGAAGATTATATTGATATTCCTGCTCTAAGAACAGACCCTTATGGTGCTGTCATTAAAATGTAAAGACAGTTGAAGGGAAAAAAACCTGAATGGCAAGCTCTGGGTTAAGGTGGTGATACTTTCACCAGCAAATGAAGTCTGCAGTGGAAGGCTCCCCAAATCTAATAAACACATATGGCCATTCTTCCTAGTTGATTCTACTATACAGGTCTAATTTTGTCCATGACTACTATAACAGGTCAGTAGAGATATCAGATTATCAAAAGCTGTGACATGTAAGAAATAAAAAAATTAAATTAACAACAACAACAAGTTTCCTAATGCTGTTTCTCAAAGAAACTGAGCTCCTGGCAGCCCTTTCCCAATCAATACCTAAACCTGAGGAAGGAAAGGAGAGCAGGCATAAAACCACTTTCTGTTCTCCCCATATCCCATCATCCTACTGCAAAATGCACAGAAACAAGATATAAAATAATCTATGGATTAGCTTTCAAATTACTACAATTGAGATACATTGTTGGATAGCAAAGTGTGCATGTTGAAAACCAAATTCTATAAAGTATTTAATTAGCTCACCAATGGGAAAGAAAACTGGTTTTGAAATGTTTACTGTTAATAGAATATAATCCTTATATATAAACTCACTTCAAAAGGATCTGATTGTTGAAAGATGCCTTCATGATTTTGATATCTCTATATACATGACCTTATTATTCTCTATATACATGACCTTATTGAAAATCTGTAATGTGAATCAAGATTTTTCTTCATAACTATTTCATAAGCAAATCAGTTTTCAGGAAAAAAATATATATGTACAAAACTATTTTCATTATATAACAGTATGTGAGTCTCCTCATGTCTAATGTTGAGATGCAACATAAAAAGCTTAAAAAGATGAAAAAAATAATTTGCAAACATTAAGACTTAATTAAAATGGGAAATCAGAGATTTGGCCAACAGAAGAAATACTTAAGCACAAAACACACATTTGAAAGAAAATATAGGCCGAGCATGGTGGCTCAAGCCTGTAATCCTAGCACTTTGAGAGGCCAAGGCTGGTGGTTAGACTGAGTCCTGGAGTTCAAGACCAGCCTGAGCAACAGAGCAAGACCCTGTCTCTACAAAAAAATACAAAAATTAGCTGGGCATGGTGGCATGCACCTGTAGTCCCAGCTACTTGAGGGGCTGAAGTGGGGGGATTGCTGGAGCCTAGGAGGTGGAGGCTGCACTAAGCCGTGATCACACACTGCACTCCAGCCTTGGCAACACAGTGATATCCTGTCTCAAAAAAAAAAAAAAAAAAAAGAAAAGAAAAAAGAAAAGAAAAGTATGTAAAACAGGTCAGTAAGAACATCAAAATAACAAAGGAAAGTATGTTCTTTTATCTCAGAACATATTTATCATTCCTTCCATTTCTGACAATGAGAAAAACAGGTAAAGCAATAAATGTAACACATTATTTAAATGTTTTATCAAAATTATTTCAACTTCTAAATGGGAAATTGTGCTAACATTAAAAGTTTCCCTTAACTTCCCTAATGTGCTCTTGTAAAGATGAAAAAAAAAAACAAAAAAATGGACTAGAGAGATTAGTTCTCAGAAAAAGAAATCCAAAGGGCTCTTAAAAATGAAAATATGCTCAATCTCATTCATAAGGGAAATGCAAATGAAAACCACACTGAGAGGACCATTTTTTACTTATAAGTACTGGCAAAAATTAAGATTATAAAACATTGTGTAAAGAGGATTTGGAAAAATGGGCCCTTTACAGGATTATCAATGGGATTTAAAACTATGACAACCTCTGTGGAAGAACATTAGGAAATAGAAAATTCAAATAAACCCCATATACTCTTTGATCCAGCAATTCCATTTCTAGGAATTTAATCTACAAGAATATTTACACAAATGGAAATGATATGTACACAATTACTGCAGTACCGTCTGTAATAATATATAAGACAGGGAAAAAACTTACATGTCCTTCAGTAGGAGACAAGTTAAAAGAAACATAGAATATTATGTACTTGTAGAAAAAGATTTCCAAAAGTTACTTTCTTAATAAAAAAAAGGTGCAAAACAAAATGTAATAGATATTTATTAATGTAAAGGACAGAACACATGAATGTATGTGCATTAAACATCTCTAGATTCTGAACATTGTCTCTGAGGGGAACTGGTGCCTCAAGAACAGGGGTAGGTGACTTTTCACTGTAGGTTTCTTTTGTTATCTTCTGATTTTTGAACCTTATTTTAATATATACACATATACATATGTGTATACATATATGAATATAAATACACATATATATGGAATGTCTAGGTGACATATAACTTTTGAGTTTTTACATTTAAACACATATCTATATTTTCATCAATTCTCAAAACCGTATTCCAAAAACCCCCAAAATGTTAAAATTTGCAAAAAATGTACAAATAAAACACAATATGCATTATGCATACAGAAATTAGATGTATAATATTGTCAAAACTATTTAACATTTTTTAATGTAAAGGATTACCTTTGCAGCCTCTAAACATAGTATAATTTAAGCATTTAAAAAAGAAAACTATCAACCTTAACACAAACTGGTAAAGTCCAGAGGCACTACCATAAAAATTTAGTTCATTTAGTTAATTTCCAAACCTAAAAAATGAATACTAATGAATGGAATTTGACACTGGCGTAACTCAAGATTATTAAAAATACTAATTTCCAACCAAGTCAAAGGGTTATTATAAACATTTAACAATAAAATTGAAGTGATATACTTGGGTAAAAATTTAACTGAAATTCAGCATTTAAGAAACTACTTGTTTAATGCCCAAACTGTAAACTTGTGGCACTAAACCAATCAAGTGAGATTTATAATTCTACTTATAATAAACATAAAAATAAAACTCATAATCATTTTTGCCCTGAAAAAAGTGAAGCTAAAAACAGACCACCAATTCAAATTCCAGTAAGAGTCCTTTCACTTATGAAAACTTTCATTGGAACAGAGTGACTTTAGGCTAGGAAGCAAATATGAAGAGAAACCTGGATACTTAATAAATGAGCTTGTAATTTAATATATGTATTTAAGTTATACCTACAATTGGACATGTTCAAAAATGCATGCGTAACTTCCACAATGGTATTTTATTAACATGACTCTGGGTACAGAACTTTCAAGTTGACAGCTATTTTCTTTCAGCAAACTGAAGAGTCAATTCCACTGTCTTCTAGCTTCCCTTGCTGCTGTGAAGTTACCAACCTTACTGCCATTCCTTTGAAGGTCATTTATCTTTTTGTTTCCAACCATTTATGTGATTTAAGAAAAAAAACTTTAGTTTTCTATAGTTTCATCCTCATGTGTCCAGTTGTGAATTTTTAAAATTACTGCTTGGGATTCAATGAGCATCTTGAATCTGTTGAAGCCTTCAATCATTCTGGAAATTTCAGTATTTCTCTCTTCAAATTGTGCTTCCGCCCCATGTAGTTCCTCTACTTCTAGAACTTCAAGTAGACACATTTTCACACTATCAATTTGTGTCTCAGATATCCCTTTCATATTTTCCATCTAATTGGCTCTTTAAGCTCCATTCTGGATGCCTTCAGTTCTCCAATTCTCTCTTCACCTGTGTTATTAAGCTAATCTTATCTAAATTCTAGTTTCTGAAGTCTTTGGAGGTCTGTTTCTGATGTATGTGGTTTCCTTATATGCTTATTTTTAACAACTGATCTGTTCCTTTCCCTTCAAAGATTATTGTGGAAACTCTCTGAGGCGTAGGAAGAAGGTGCATTCCTCCAGAAAGGGTATGAATAAGCTATTACCACCTATTAGGGGTATAATTCAGGCTGAGTCTACTTTACATACATGGCTTCAGTTTTTCTGAATCATTCTCAGGTGATGTTTATTCACACAAATCCACATAAAGAACATCTCAGGATTCCCCCATTCTGCTCTACTCAGACGGACGCAACTTTTCTCAGTCCCTTACAGGTAGGAAGGTGGCATGGATTTACTTCTAGATCACTGTCATCCTGAGTGTAGCTTTTGGAGCACATAGTTTAAGGGGAAAGGATATCCCATTGGACACTGTACCTTGGGCAGGCCTTGGGTTTTGACTTTTGCTGCCTGAGGTCCTGAAGCGTTTAAAATTGAAGCTCAAGTCTTCCCAGTTTGGCAGTTGCTTTCAGGGCCAAAACAGTTTAGGCATTCTGCTTATCTCCTCGCGTTCCTTTTTTCTCCCTCCCCAGTCCATTAGGCTTTGACCTGGTAATTCCTTAGTGCTGTAAGTTCAATGTTAATAAGACATTCTTAAAATTCTACCTAGCAGCCTTAGCTGTTTTCAGTGAGAGAGCTAATCTGAGTAACCTAACTCACCATATTACCTGCTAGTCTCCTTCATAGTATTTTATTAATATCAAGCTTTCAAAAAGATTAGAAAAAAAATGTGTGCAAACTACCTTGAAAAGTAACTAAAAACTCTAAAATCCAATGTTCACTGAGGCACTAAATTCCAAAAGTAATCTATTAAAGAAGCCAGATCTGGTAAAAATCTGGTCAGGCACAGTGGCTCATGCCTGTAATCCCAACACTTTGGGAGGCTGAGGCGGGAGGATTGCTTGAGCCCGAGTTCAAGACTAGGCTGGGCAACTTAAGACCTTGTCTCTACAATTAATCAGGCGTGGTGGCCTGCAACTGTGGTCTTGGCTACTCAGGAGGCTGAAGTGGGAGGAACACTTCAGCCCACACGGTGGAGGTTACAGGTTACAGTGAGCGGAGTTCAAGCGACCGCACTCCAGCCTGGGTGACAGAGTAAGAACCTGACTCCAAAAAAAAAAAGTATAAATCTTTCTCTTATGTTATACATCAACATAATTCTAAATAATGTGAAAGCAGCTTACTCTGAAATACTTAAATATTTAGGGGTATTAGACAATTCAAAAGAACAGTTTCTTTTTAGTGTTCTAAAAATAAAGACATTTTTTTAACCTGTCACAGTAAAGGTATCAGCCAATCACAATTTTATATTCATGAAAATACATCTTGTTATAAACTGAAATAACTCATTTTACTTTTTTTGAGACCTTTGAATTTTTAGAAATTCAACTTGTAAAATACAATTATTTCCCACTGTGGATTTTTAATTCAACAAGTATTCATAGTGCCATTATATGCCAAGCATTATTGTAGCTTCCTGGAATATAGCAACATACAAAAGAGACAAACTATAAGTAAATTATTCAGTACATTAGGTGATGAGTATTATAGGGGAAAAGGAGAACTTGGTAAAGGATAAGGAGTTCTGCAGGGGATAGAAGTGGCAATTTTAAACAGAGTGGTCACAGTAGATCTCAATGAGAAGTTAACATTTTTGTAGATCTGAAGAAAGTAAAGCAGCTAGCAAAGCAGCTATCTGGAAAAATATCTTTAGAACAGATAAAAGAGCTAATGTAGACAAAAGCCCTAAGGGAGGAATGTCTGGAATAAATTTAAGGAACATCAAGGAGGCCAGTGTGACTAGAGAATAGACTTTACTATTAATATGTGGATTATCTATCATGCAGACATTATGCACAAATTTTTATACTTGTGGGTATCCTAGCATTTAATAATTTTCTACTAATTATTAAATCAGCCTACCTGAATGTACTAAAAAAACCTGATTCTTAAACATACAAATGTTAGGCTTTTCACATAATTACTAAGAATACAGATATAAATTCATTTAAAATTCATCAATTTAAAAAATTGTATCAGAACTCTAATTCAGTGATCAAAGTTCCATTATAATCCTCATTTACTCTTAACACCCATAAAAACATTTTATTTCATGTAATACCACTGTCTTTTAAAAAATGTCATTACTATTACATCAACACATTCTTATTTATATTTCTCTCCTCATACCACCTAGGTAGGCAATTCTCCCTAATTTTTGGATATTACAAATCAATAAAATTAGAAAAGAAAATTTAGAAACTGACATGATCTGCCAACGTTTTTGAGTTTTATTTTCTTTTTCTGAGACAGAGTCTTGCTCTGTCGCCCAGGCTAGAGTGCAATGGCGCGATGTTTTTGGGTTTTGAGAGATGTTTGGAAACTACTGTTCTTGTGCTTTCGCTTTTCTCAATTTTAACCAGTCTTTGGGTATTCCAAAAGTATCCAGAAGACATCAAAACATTTTACAGGGTTCTGTTTAAAACTAAGTTTCAGACTTTGATACTAGAATCAGTAAAATAAGTAGTATCTCTTAATCTTGGTTATTAAATATTTGTCCCTTTGGTAAAATTATCCCTTTTAGTAAACACATGCAAATTAACTTAAATATTTATCCAAAAGGGGGGAAAACTTTCCATTTTTTCATTTAAAAAATTCATATAAAATAAGCAATCTTTTTTCTGTACAAAATAAGTCAATTTAGAAACTGTATGTCATTGGATAAGCTAGACGCTGGCAATGTGGTATCTTAGGATTCCCATTTAGTAAAAACAAATTTTACTCATGGTAAAAACATTTCTAGGAATCAAACTCATGCAACTTCTCAGGTTTTACCTACTATGGAAAATAACCAATTTTTTATCTTAGGAAATGTTTTTCCCCCTCTCAAAAAGTGAAAACTCTGGCCAATTACTGTCATATTTTCCTCAATCGCTATGAAGACTATTAAAGGGAAAATTTTATGGCTTCTTAATTGTATTAGTTTCTCAATACTCAAATAGAAACTAAAAATAAAGAAAAAGAAACCAAAAGAGAATTTATAAATCAACATGTAATTTTTTTTTTTGAGAATTGAACAGGAAGCTTCCACAGTCATTTAACTTATAAATTTATGTAGGCATTTGAGTAAAATAAGGGCCCAGAATTATAAATGATATCTCAACTTAAGCTCTTCCTAGAGCAAAATTACAGCCAACTTATTAACCTAGCAATTATTTCAGATGTTCATGCTTATTCTCCAATTATTCTCCCTCACTGCTTAGTTACAATTCTAGATGAGCTAATGACCATTAAGCTCATATTTCTATAATATTTCTATATTATTCTCATATTTCTATAACGTTCATGTAAGCCACAAGTCATCTGCTTTAATATACTGGGAATGACTAGAAGCAAAATTCAGCTTAAAAATTAAAAAAACACGCCATTCATCTATTTCTAAAATGTAAAAAATTATAAATCATCAAGCTAAAATTGTTTCAACTCATCAAATAAAGCATGTTTTCTCTCTTTCCTTTAAGGCCTCTGCACTGGCAGTCTCTGCCAGGTATTCTCTGCTTAACTCATACATGTACTTCAAACCTCAGTTCACAAGTCCTGTTCTTCCAGATTTCCTTGACTCACCATCCCCCATCTTCCCATGCAGTGTCTGGCATGCATTTACACAACAGATACTGGAAAAGTTAATAAATTTTAGAAGCAATTTAGGAAGATAATGTCCTCATCTTCCCTGAAAAAATAACGTGGATGGAAGAACCTGAAAAAAGACATTTTCAAAGTCTAACTCTGTTGCCCAGGCTGCAGTGCAGTGGCATGATCTTGGCTCACTGCAACCTCCGCCTCCAGGGCTCAAGTAATTCTCCTGCCTCAGCTTCCCAAGCAGTTGGGGTTACAGGTGCACACCACCACACCTGGCTAATTTTTGTATTTTTAGTAGAGACAGGGTGTCACCAGGTTGGGCAGGCTGGTCTTAAACTCCTGACCTCGAGTGATCTGCCCGCCTCAGCCTCCCAAAGTGCTGGGATTACAGGCATGAGCCACCAAGCCCGGCCTACTTTTTTTTTTTTTTACCTATATCCACATAAAAACCTATAAAAATATACAGATGGTGGGGGGGTCTACAAAGTTACTACCAGATGACTTTTCTTGAGAATCTCTAAATTCAACAGCCAACTGTACTATTGAAAAAAAGGTGTTAATACTTTGGACAATTTTATGTGACTATAATCCAGGCAAATACGTCAGTAGGCATCAGTAAATTTCATTCTACTAAAAGGCCACAATTTTTGGGAACTTTTAAGGACTAGTCCTCCACATACAAAATTACTTTCCAAGGTTTGCTAACAATGCAATTCTGCATTTTTAGTTTGCACAGTCTC
Source organism: Homo sapiens (assembly GCF_000001405.40). Lineage (NCBI taxonomy): Eukaryota > Metazoa > Chordata > Mammalia > Primates > Hominidae > Homo > Homo sapiens. Next base: position 33,129,719 of record NC_000011.10, read on the forward strand.
CTAAAAATGACAAACTGCAGCTTGTAAACTTTTCTTCTTACCCATAAAAGTATCTTACAAGCATAACTGAATACACTAAAGTAAAATTCCAAAACACTTCAATTGTGGGATGCTTAGAATTGCAAACTGTTTTATAGGTAAATAATACAAATTCTGATGCAACATCATAGTGGTTTACTTACAATCAACTGAGGAATATCAGGTAGCTACATGAAGATACTTGAGTTTTCAGTGGCATAGACTGGAGATGTGCTCAAAAAGTTTATCTTGAATCCCTAAGCCTGATGCACCACAAATTACAAATAACTGGAAATAAAGATTTAGTTTTAATAAATCAGATTTTCCCATTAACTAGAAAAGTCAAGATCCTTTTAATATTTTTAAATACAGAGCTAGATATTGTGCCCCTCTTTCATTTTTATTTTTCATAAAATTTCATAATCTCAATTAGTAAAAACTTCCTTTTAGATCAGGCTGGGCATGGTGGCTCATGCCTGTAATCCCAGCATTTTCGGAGGCCTAGGCGGGTGGATCACCAGAGGTCAGGAGTTCGAGACCAGCCTGGCCAACGTGGTGAAAGCCTGTCTCTACTAAAGATACAAAAATTAGCCAGGTGTGGTGATGGGCGCCTGTAATCCCAGCTACTCGGGAGGCTGAGCCAGGAGAATCGCTTGAATGCAGGAGGCAGAGGCTGTGGTGAGCCAAGATTGCGCCACTACACTCCAGCCTGGGCAAGAGTGAGACTCTGTCTCAAAACAATGATAAATAAATAAGAGATCATAGGGAATCTAGTTTATCCTATCAGAAAATTTATTTACAAAACTTCTACACACCTTTGAAAAGTATGAAAACAACTGTTTAATAAGCAGGTATTGAAAGGCTAATACACTCTACCTAAATCCTTAGTTTTGGCCTTGATTTAAGTAAATGCCATTTTAATAACACTCCTAATTCCTAACCCAGAAACAGATGTAAAAATTACTGCTCTCTCTATAATGTGGAATGTAAAAAAATATTCAAAGTGGTAAAGAATATGTTCTTTGATTGAGTCCAGGAGTTCAAGACCAGCCTGGGCAACATGGCAAAACAAAAAAATACAAAATTTTGTTATTTTTGTCTCTACCAAAAACAACAACCAACCAACCCAAAACACCACAAAAATTAGCCGGGTGTGGTGGTATGCACCTGTATTCCCAGCTACTCTGGAGGCTGAGGTGGGAGGATCACCTGAGCCTGTGCAGGTCAAGGCTGCAGTAGGCCATGATTACATTACTGCATTCCAGCCTGGGCAACAGAGTGAGACCCTGTCTCAAAAAGGTAAGAAAATACATGCTCTTATAAATTTCTTAAAATCCAAAATTACAAAGATTTGCCCCTTTTGTGTACAGCATTCCTTTGTACTCTCTGAAATTAAGTCCAAGTATCTACAGCTAAAAATTAAAAAACTATGGAAGTATGGAGAATAGCAACTAGAATTTTAGAGATAAGATTTTATACAAAGGATAACCTGGCTACACAGAAGTTATTGTACCATAAAATCTTCTAAAAAGGTTTGCTTAAATTCTCTGAAGCAATTTTATGTGGTTGTGAGTAGCTATACATAATCCATTTTTTCAAATGCCCACCAAAATATTGATAGACCTAATACTGAGACAGCTAATGAAGAATGCAAAAAACTCCTGATCAAAGAAAGAGTCAGTTATAAACCTACTATATATTAATAGCTATTTCCACAATTATACTGTATTTTAGATTTCTTAGGTCAGTTCGTATAATGGCTAGTGACTAGAAGCCCACATGGAGGAAAAATCTAAGCATGAACTGAATATTAAATTAGATTTGAACAGGCCGGGTGCGGTGGCTCACGCCTGTAATCCCCGCACTTTGGGAGGCCGAGGCAGGCGGATCACGAGGTCAGGAGATCGAGACCATCCTGGCTAACACAGTGAAACCCCATCTCTACTAAAAATACAAAAAAAAAAAATTAGCCGGGAGTGGTGGCGGGCGCCTGTAGTCCCAGCTACTCGGGAGGCTGAGGCAGGAGAATGGCGTGAACCCGGGAGGTGGAGCCTGCAGTGAGCAGAGATCGTGGCACTGCACTCTAGCCTGGGCTACAGAGACTCCGTCTCAAAAAAACAAAGATTTGAACATTATTGTTCCTTTTAAGTGTGATAATGGTATTGTGGTTTTACAGGGTACTATTCTTTGTGGTTTTACAGGGTACTATTCTTTATATAAGCAGAGTAATATAAAGCATTTATTGAGCCTATGTAGAGGTGCACAGGTATTGACTATATATTATTCTTTCAAATTTGTTTGAAAATTTTTATAATAAATAGTTGGAAAGAAAAAACGTTACATTGTTTGGCTAAGGTCCTAGTAATAAGGAAGCTGCAAGCAGAATATCCTAGGGTCCCCAGATTTCAAATTCTTTCATTCCTATTTCTGCATATATCCTTTATAGAGTTACCTGCAGATTCCTTGCACTGCATTTCTTTAAATAAATGAAGACATTTTTAAACATACCTTTTCCATACTACCAAATATGATCAGACCACTGTTACAGTAACACAGTAAGAAAAATTCTGACCCTGCAGTTGAGGCACAGGACAGAGTAGTTCCCCTCCCCCATAATAAAAAACTGAACTTGAATAATAATTTTCTGTTGAAGAAAAAAAAAAAGGTATTTTAGAGATGGGGTGATTACTACATTGCCCAGGCTGGTCTCAAACTCGTGGGGCTCAGGCAATCTGCCCACCTTGGCCTCCCAAATGCTAGGACTACAGGCATGAACAACTGCGCCCAGCCAGATAAAACACTTTTTTTCAAAGTTATTTTGACTTGGAATACCTGTTATTTAAATGCTAATCTCCTAACTATTCTGTCAACTCAGGAAATTCAAATTTAAAAAGGAACCTTTTTGGCAAATATTCCCATGGATAAGCAATCTGACATCTTTAATTGCTAATAGAAACTATTTCCTTTAAAGTGCTAAGAATTTCATTATTTGTGTTGCTAACAACTGAAAACTTTTAACGAGTTAAATAATGTAGCATTTGCAAATGATCACGTATTTGTCTAGATGATCTTTTTGACTATTTGTTTACAAAGCGAAAGATGGCATTATTTTTAAAATATCTAAATTCTTATTTAAAATAATTTGCCATTTGGTCAAGTAAATCAATATAGATATCCATTTCCTATATCATACAGTTTATATATAATATATATGTAACATACAATATATATAACCTAATGCTTGAAGTAACAATTTTTAAGTTTTCTTCCCCATATGATTTATGACAGAATTGACAGGCATCATTTACAGTAAATGATTTTATATTTGACAAAATCCTGAAAATTATCTTTACTAACTATACTCACTAGTAAGCTTCTTAAATGAAAAAAATCATGGTAGGGAGGGGAAAGCTAGGACTTTCCAATAGTTTTCAAACACAATAAAGTTTGAGTCATGAATAGAATACCTGTTTCCACTCAATAAACATATTGAAAAACACCAGATAATTCCATGGAAAAATATCACTGATTCAACCAAGAATCAATAGGGTTTAAATGGAGTGGACAGTTGTTAGAAGAGAATACAATATTTAGTCTCAAATTATCTCCCCATTATTTTTTCTATTAATTATCAAAGGAATAATATTAACTACACAGTGGACAAGCTGGTCAACACCTGAACCACATCATGAAAACTGACATCACCAATATGGGACAAATGAACATTACTACGCCTCTGGATGAAATACACTAAAGACACATGACCATTTTGGTGGCTTTTCAGCTAAAACCTATAACCTAAATCTAATGATGAAGCATCAAACAAATTCAAATTAAGGCCGAGGGCTGGGTGCAGTGGCTTACGCCTGTAATCCAGCACTTTGGAAGGCTTGAGGTCAGGAATTTGAGACCAGCCTGGCCAAAATGGTGAAACCCCATCTCTACTAAAAATACAAATATTAGTTGGGTGTGGTGGAGCACACTTGTCCCAGCTATTCAGGAGGCTGAGGTTGTAGTGAGCCGAGATCACGCCACTGCACTCAAGCCTGGGTGACAGAGCAAGACTCAAAAACAAAACAAATTAAGGCTGAGGGGCTGTTCCACATTGAAGGAGACTAAGAGGAATGACAATTATATAATGGCCTTGGATTAGATAATGAATCCGAAGAAATTTAAGAGTATTACCATGACAAAAGTATAACATAGACTGCAGATTATTCTACTAATGTTACATTTCCTGAATTGCATCACTCAACTGTGTGTATGTATAAGAATCTTTGTTATTAGCAAACACATCAAAGCATTAAAGTTCATAATATATTCAATGCAATCTCCTATAGTTCGGAAAAAAAAGATTCAGTAAAGCACTTATGTCAAGATGTTAAAAAGCAGTGCAAAATATATATGGGAGTTCTTTGCATTGTTCTTGCAACTTTTTTGTAAGTTCAAAGTAATTTCAAAATAAAGTTACAAATGCATTACAAAAATTGCTTAAATAACTGTCAGTTTGTAAACCCTAAAAGCAATGCTCGTTATTCAACCAATACAAAGCAGATTAAACCATGTGATCTGCCGTGATTGGATCTTCAACTCTGATAACCTAAATAATCAAAGTTTTAAGCATTTTTTCACCTAATACCCAATACCATACCCCAAATACGGGAAGCACAAAACCTTCAAAAATTCTCTTCATACACGATAGCCAAAACCAAAGGAAATGGTGGATGAGGGAACTAAAAGAAATGTACAAACACAGGAAACAAAGTTATTTTGCTGACAATCTTCCCTCCAATGACACTGCACTTCTGTAATACTTAGTAGTGTTGTCATTTTGGATATTTAAGTTTTATAAAATTTAGTCTAATGTAATTCTAAATATCATTAGTACTTGGATTCTTAACTACAGCTGAAAAGACCATTCTAAAATTACCACTGGTGGACTTTTTAGTCATCAAATTTGACTTTAAAACTGTCAAAAGCCATTAAGGAAGCATTTGAGTTTTCATTTTTTATAAGGATATGGGTTTAAAATGGTTGAGAAACACTACAGATCTTTCTAGTGAAAAGCTCAGAAATGGACTGAACCTGACTATAGTAAGTTAGAAATAACTGGTTATTTGTGAGAAAACATCCCATTCCCCACCACCCAGAAGAATGAGAAGTACCAGCACAACACTCAAGTTGCACTGAAATAAAAGGATGTTAGCTAAATAAACCAAAAATAAATACCAAGATGTGGCACTCTTGTTCAAACTCTACACAGGGTACAAGTTAGCTGCAGTTAATTCTTTTAAGCCACATTCTTCAGCTTAGATGATTCTCCCGTAACACTTGAAGTGTCCTTAAAGGTTATCTGATTCTTAGTTTGGCACTCATGTGACTGTCTTTTTTAAAAAAGTTTATGCAACCAGAAAATCAGTTTTCAAACCCAGGAATAAATTCAGTTAGTAAAAAAACGGTTACAGTTAAAACAGCGTAACCCTAACCCTGACCCTGACTGTGAATCTAACAGTTACAATATACTAAGCACATAGTAGATGCTTCAAAGATCACTCGATTATATACAAAAAGCAAGCCAGGAGACTAATCACTTTATTGTCCAGGCAAGTATAGGAAATATTCTGCAAACTATAAAATTTACTGACAGCAGTAAGATTCAATTACTGCCCTGCAAAGCCTCAATTCCCAAAACTAGCTGCCAGAAACACATACCATATGTCCATCCTCTAGAGATTGAGTCAGCAGTGCTGGTATGCTAACTGGGAAGCTTGTATGCTTTAAAAGCTTTCCAAGTGATTCTAAAGCAGTGAAGTTTGTAAACTTTGGCTCCAGGGATAACAATGTCTTGATTTAGTTTACTCACATATAAAATGAGGGGGCTAAACTAATTCATCTTCCAGCTCTAAAAATTTCTGACTTAAAACATTATGTCCACTTCAACTATATGTAAAATGTACAGTAGTCATAGTCTGGTGAATGAAAAAATTTCCAGGGAAACCATCATCACAAAATAGCCAACCTTCTTTTTTCTTCAAATCCAGTATGAAAAGTTGCAGAATATGAATCTTAGGACAAAGGAAGACTTAAAACGTCAACAGTACATGCTAGAGCTGAAATGTTGCATTTAAATAAAAGGTTGTAACTGAACATGTTCTGTCACATGAATAGAAGTATTTAGATTTCATTTCAGAAAGACTAAAAACAGCTTTGGGATCTTGTTATCTTTGACCCTTACTACGGTGCAATGTACTATTTCAAAACTACATTTGAATCCTATCGCTGATGTCAATTTGTCTTTAGAACTATTGCTTAATTAACACTTGCAAATAGAAAATTTTTCTTTGGAGGTCTAGCATACAAAATGGTAAAACTTACCCACATTATGCTTTCCTGAGTCTTAGAAAAGCAGCTGAGTTTCTCAAGAAGTTGTATTCAAAGCAAATATTCACAATTTTTTTTTCAAACTGTTGTGGATTCTGGTATGTGGGGGAAAAAAATCTAGATGCAGACTTCAACCTATTATGCCATTATACAAACCAACTATTTGTTTTCTGCTACCAAGTTGCTAGGAGCAAACCGGTTTAATAATAAAATTTAAAGTTTAAAAATTCAGTAAAATTAAAGTAATAAAATTGAAAGTAATAAGTTACAACTAATAAATGCATTGTCCACATTTATTTAGAGGTGCAACTTTTTACAGATGTCACTGGTAATATTTTAGACATCTTCATTTCCTGGAAGTGCCTTGAACCAGACTCATTCCAAAGGAATAGCTGTTTCAAAGCTGATGCGTTAAAGAAAATACAAACAATCCATTAGAAAATATTTAAGCTTTTGACTTAAACTGGTCCTTTTGTTTTATAAAGGAAAGTCAATTGCCACCTGATTCCCCTGAGCTCAAGTTATAACCAAAAATGCTCAGCACTGTAAAAAGTCTCATGTGTTAGAATTAGTTTTATTTCCAAATATGGAGGTTTCTAGCTCTGTGATATTATGAGGGGCTTACATGTTTGTGTTGATTCATGGATGCTACGTTGCAGCGTATCTTTAATACCTTTTGGGACAGGGATAGAGTTTTGAACCAAAATTATCCCCTATGATCCTAATGACTATAATACCCAATATTTTTAACAACTAAGTATTAGGTATTACATATTATTATGTTATTCCATGAATGTCTAGGAAATTTAGGTAAAACATTACTACCTCCCCCAAAAACTTCAAATTGTCTGATCCAATAGTCCTTTTTGTTTCACCATTAATTTTAGAATGTATATGCATTTTTTATCATAAACCTTTTTCCACAATTTCAGAATATATCATGACTCTTATTACACCAAAGAATAGAATATAAAGAAGCTGAGTTTAAAACGTAAGAGTCTTTGCAGGGTAAAGAAAATGACCATATATTTTCAATGTGTTTACTAATGACTGCAGAGATTAGTTTTGCTTTATAAAGCTGAGAAATACATAGGCAATCAGGTTGACTAGCACAAGATTTTGCTTGAAAATAAATGGCTACATTTCACATAAAAGAATTATCTAGAAATTATAAAGATTAGAAAACATACAGTTTTATTTAAAGAAATGTCATTATCTAAGTGACTACATCCTTTTGAAAGTAGTTGCTTTGGCTGAGAAAAAAAGTCCCAAGGGAAAAAATGTATAGACCATGTTAGTAGAAGTGACAGCATCTAAACATCTCTGTTATAGAATGGATAGGGAAAAGGGATGGAATCAGATAATTCAATAAAACCTAAAATAGTTTACTACTTATTATAGTCAACATGCAAATATTTCCTTTGCTTATCAAACAGTACTTTATTCAAAGCACTTTCAGATTATCACTCAGTTCTGTTTACAAGTACTTTTTTCTTGTAATACATCTCTATTCTACATTTATATATGCATCTAAGAAACTAGATAAAAAAGCATATTGAGTTTTAAAGTAAAAATCTGAATAATCACACAGACATGGACCAACATTTATTACAAACAGGAAAAGTGTAGATCTATAAGAAAAGAGTACAGATTTTTTTTGGTAAAAAGGCTGCAAGCTGAAGTATAGAAATCACCATAATCTATATAATGCAGTAATTGTATCTGCATTTTAAAATCACATTGCTCAACAGAAAGAAAACATTATAATACAGTAATTTAAATTGCTATGTAAAGGTATTAAAACAGTATCAACAGTGGAAAAGTTTATTTCAATTTAGGACACTCATGTTGCATCCTGAGTTCACTTCCATTTTCCAAGAAGAAAGGTCATTTTGAAAAACTGAAATGTATGCTACACAACCCATTATTTATAAGGAAGGAAAAACCAAGTATAGAGAAAAGAATTCATCTTTTGTAAAAATTTTAAATAAAACAATCAATTCTCTATATGCTTTTATTAAAGAAATACAGCTTTCACAGACAGCAAGATACATCGTTGCTATTACCAGCAGCATTACCTTCTTCATTTCTCCTTCAGCCACCAATAAAAAACATGCTTCAGTAAAAAAATTCCTTATGAATGTGGCCCGATTCAAAACAAATTACTTCTCTAACAATAAGATATTGTAGCTTACATGTTGTCACTCATCACCTAATTACATGAAAAGCTACAGAAACCACAGGCTGGGTGGGGCAGAACAATTTAAAAGAATATGTCAAAATTCTGTAGGTTTTCTCAATTTTGTGATTATTTAGTGACCTTTTTGATCATTGTAAAAAGTAGTTCTTTAAAGAGCACTGAGGCTCTGACTGGGGCATTCCACTTAACTCAAGTGTTTAAAACCTCTCATTTATTAAATCCAAAAATATACTAAACTGCATTTAAGATATCCTTATCCGATTAAATAGCTGGAGACATATTTAAATGTTTCCTTTATTTGAAACTAAGAAGTCACAAAAGTACTTTCATATCATAGTGATATTTAAACTTTATACTTGATAACTATCACTTTAAGAATAGTCATACAATTAATGACTTGCTCATCTTATAATAATACTGTTAAATCATGTGACCTAGCAGTTTTGGAATAAAGAGTAGAACAATGTATTTCAGGGAGTGGAGGCAAAATGTTATCTCCTATGTATTATATATAACACCAAAGTAATTTGGCCTAGTTTTTGAAATTATATATTAAGAATACACAGAAGTTTGTCCTAAATGCCATTCACTAGAGCAAGATAATTTTACCTCCAACAATTTCCACACTACAGCAAAAAAATGAAAGCATGTGACAAATTCAGAATGACATTTTAAATCCAAATTTTACATAGCTAAATAGATACTGCTCAACTCTCAGTTATGAGCAAATCTGATGCACTGGCTCATATAGCAGCATCATTAACCTTTTTTAAAAGTAATTAATATGCTCTCATTTCCAACTGATGTTTCAAATTTTTTTAAAAAGTTTAATACTTTTTTCCTTTGACATTTTGTACTTAAATAGGATTTGCAAGGAGTTTCTCTGGGGAAGCAAATTATCTTCCGTTACTAAAGATGTATGTATTTTCTATTAAAAAAAGGTATTTGGAGTCACACAAGTTGGCTTAGCAGAATATAAAGAAATGAACATTACAATTTTCCCACCATGAAGTACTGAGTTACAACAAATGTATTAACAAAACTTTATTTTCTTGAGTGCATACAGAATGTTATGTAAACACTTAAGTATTACTTTCAATGTAAAAACATTCTTATTATCACTTCGGATTTTTAAAAAGTATTATAAATAGGTTTGTGTCTTCTCCAGAAATATTAATGGCCACATTGAGTGATATGATCAAAGAAAACTTTAGCCTCTCACAGGCTAAACAAAAATATAGAATGTGAAAATAAAAAATAAACAGCAAACCAGGAAAGAGAAAAACACAGCTCAGGATATGCATTTCTAAAACCAGCATTCAATTTAAAACCTTAATTCCTAAACCAAAAATATAAATTTTAAAAAATATACATATATATTATTTACCATTTGTTCTTAATACATGTTATATATACCTATTTGTGCGCGTGTGTATGTTTGTGTGTGTGAAGTAACTGCAAATATTACCAACTAAATAAATCAGGCAACTGCTAGCAGCTCTTCATTTCATTATATGAATTGAGCCTGTTATGTAGACAACTTTCAGCCCCTTGGAATAACATCTGGTCTTCCTGAAACTTTTTTTTAGGATGCAGTTTGTAACTTACAGCTAGGAAATTGGAGAAACAAACCCATTGTGTTCAGAGTTACAGAATGGAGTATCTAACTGCCTATTTCAGTTTAACTTACGCTATAATAAAATGCATGAATAATGCCTGAATAATTGAGAAACAAGGAAATTTCAAAAACTCAGAAAGTTCTACTTCACTATACAAAAACAATTATATATCAATTATTTTCATTTCTGGTGCGTTTGAATTTAAGTCTAATGTGTTTCTAAAGCCAGACTAGAATGCAGATCAGGTGCAGGTGATCCAGGTTCCTTGTTTTAATGAGTTAATACAAAGCAGCACGGGCTTCAGCATATTTCAGACAGGCCTCACCTGTTTTGTGCCAAGCTACTTTGGTGATTTAAATATATTAAGGAAAGAAATGGTCCCAGAGGATAGGTGATGAAACTTTAAGGTATGGTCATGGGCCAAAACTACCAGACTCCACATAAGGCACAATCTCTCTCATACATACAAACACACAAACATACATACCACATACACAACCACACACACAAAAATAAAACACACACAATGTTCCTGCTATTATCCAGTAATTTCCCTCCCCACCAAGTAATACAATCTAAACTATAGCACAAATACAATGAGTACACTGTAGCCTCTATTTAAATCTGCTATTGGTTGGGTCCATTCTGAGGACATATCACAGATGACACTGTGTTGTGCTGAAGTATATTCAGTACTGCTGATGACCAAAGCCCTTTGAATAGGTCCAAAACAGACCTAAATATTATCAAATTTCAGGTACAGCAGAAAATGTTATGTTGAGGCTGCAGTGTACTTGATTATGCTGAAAATCTATATCACAAAATTAATATTAAAAATAAGAGTACTGCATAAGTTACAAAAAGAAATGCGTATAATTTTCAGCTTAATGTGGATATCAGTTATTTACATCTTACCCCTTCCATATCATTAATTTATATTAATAACCTGAAAATGACTACTTGGTGCCAATTGTTATTGACACATTAAAACTTTTATTATCATTTTTACTAATTCCAGTCTTCAAAAATTAACATTTTCCTCCTAACCATAATCATGAATGGGGTCCTTACTCTTTAAAATATACATGCCTGGGTTCAAATTTCAAGATATAAAAAGCAAGAAAAAAATATCAAAGTATCATTGGGTAAAATTATGATTAAATAGGATTAAATAGGTTTGAATCACATTAGCTTATTCTTGCATAATATAAACTATCTTACAGAAAAATCGTTAAATTATTGAAGTGCTTACATTGATAAACCATGCATTTTCACAAAATTAAAATGTGAAGTAATTCTTCTCTTAAAATGTTTCATTTCACCAGACACTCAAAATACTCTATGAAAAACTAAGTTAACATTTCTGTATTTTCATATACTCCCATTCATATTAGTTTGTAAGTAGGAATAAAAAGAAAAATGAGTTCTAAATAAATGACACAGGAGGCAATAAATTGACACATGACAAGTAAATAAAAGGCTAAAGCACTCCAATACCATTGAAACTGTTTTAATGTTGTTGCAACTCCAAAATGCAACAATCATCAGCTTGTAAAAGACCCAAATTTCAAAAATTCATTTTAATTACTCCTTTATACCTATTTTACAAAATAAAGGTAAGACACATTTAAATCCTCCTTGTCCTAATTGGCTATGTTCCTAACTTGTTTTCTATCACTACAGTGAATGCTGCAATACTGATATAAGAAAAAATAAAATAAAATAGTAACCTCTGCTTCAATGTACAGTTTCCAGAATCTGCCAGAACTGGGGAACTGGGCAACAAGGCGTTCATAAGTCTTCCGTGCTTTGTCTATAGGTTGATTCTAAAATTGAAAACCAATAAACAGCATTTACAATGTTAGGATTATGAAAATATTATTCACTGCAGAACCAAGTAGTGTGATTGGACCCATAGAGAAGGAAATGTAATCCTATATCACTAAACCTGTGCCTCTCGAATGAGAATGCTCCAAGCATCAAGGTCATATGGATTCTCTTCTAATTTCTTTTCCGCTTTCTTCACCTTCTCTGGGACATACTCAGCTGCCTGGGGAAAAAAAACAACAGTGAACTAAAGTTACTGTTTTAAAAATCTCATGCCTAACTTAATTCATGAACAATAAAGTCCTCAGATGCAATGTCACATTACAAAGCATAAAAATATCCTCTTATAAAAGAGAAGTGTGTTTCCTAGAACCGATGTGTACAATCGTCCTTCCTTATCTGTGGGCTCCGCATCCTTATACTCAACCAAGGGTGGATTGAAAATACTCAGAGAGAAAAAAAAAAGACAGCACTAAACACGTACAGCCTTTTTATTTATCATTATTTCCTAAACAACACAGTATAACAACTATTTACATGGCATCTGTATTATATGACGTTATTATAATCTAGATATGAGTTAAGTATTTGGGAGGACATATGTAAGCTATATGCAAATACATTATTTTTATATAAGAGACACGAGCACACATGGACTCTGGTATCTAAGGGGGTGTCCTGGCAACAATCCCCCACAGATACTGAGGGACGATTGTATTTGTAATCAGAAGTAACTTGCATAAAGATAATAAAACCAAGTGATCAAGTATTTTTTATTCAAATAAACTTACTTTTGTATTAAATACTATAAAACAGCAGCTCTCAAACTTTATGGTCTCAGGACCCCTCTACGCTCTTAAAATTTAAGAACCACAAAGAGCTTTTATGTGGGTTTTATCAATATTTACCATATTAGAAATTAAAACAAATTTAAATATTGATTGATTTACAAATAAAACTTTTTACATGTTTTTTCTTTATAAAAAATAACTTAAAATTCAGTAATAAGAATGTCGCTTTTTACGTATTTATAAATCCATTCAATGTTTGACTTTTTAAAAGGCAGCTGAATTTTCACATCTGCTTCTGTATTCAATCTGCTGCCCTATCAGATCATACAGATGCTGAAAAATTCCACTGTATGCCCGTGAGAGATTAGGAGTGAAAAAGGGCAAATAATGTCTTAGATTTATTATGAGAGAGGTTGAAGTCACAGATCCTCTGAAAGTCCTTAGGAACCCTTGGGGTTCCTGGACCAACTTTGAGAAACACTGCTGTTAAAGCATTCATCCTGCGCCACAAAGAAAATGCATGAAATGACATGGAAATCTTATTTCGATGTAAAGAAATTTTAAAAACACAATTCACAATTGTATGTACAATACAATGAAAACTATAAAAGAAATCTGCAATTAAAGAGATTTTTAAAATATATTCAAATGCTTAGACTGGTCATCCTTGGAAGATAAGCAGTAGAATTAGAGGCTGATTTTTTTTCCCCTTTTCTTTCAATATTCCCCAAATCCTTTGGTAAGGTAGTTTTACTTTTATTATAGAAATTTAATTTTTGAAAAAAATGCCTAAAATAGTAGCCAGCACTTGAAGCAAAAATAAAAGTATTAATTCTCAAATTGTTGTTCAGAATACTACTGTGTACCACAAAAAGGGATGGTCAAATAAGCCAGATAAATGTTAATTTATACAGGCCAGGTGTGGTGGCTCACATCTACAATCCCAGCACTTTGGGAGGCCGAGGCAGGCAGATTACTTGCGGCCAGGAGTTCAAGACCAGCCAGGCTAACATGTTGAAACCCAGTCTCTACTAAAAACAGAAAAATTAGCTGGGCGTGGTGGTGTGTGCCTGTAATCCCTGCTACCTGGAAGGCTGAGGCACAAGAATTGCTTGAATCCAGGAGGCAGAGGTTACTGTGAGTGAGATTGCGCCACTGCACTCCAGCCTGGGTGACAAAGCCACACAGCACTTTGGGAGGCTGAGACAGGCAGATTACAAGGTCAGGAGATTGGGACCATCCTGGCTAACATGGTGAAACCCCATCTCTACTAAAAACACAAAAAATTAGCCGGGCATGGTGGTGGGCGCCTGTAGTCCCAGCTACTCGGGAGGCTAAAGCAGGAGAATGGCGTGAACCCAGGAGGCGGAGCTTACAGTTAGCCGAGATAGCACCACTGCACTCCAGCCTGGGTGACAGAGACTACGTCTCAAAAAAAAAAGTTAATTTATATGAAGTTTTGTTTTGCCTTTTTTCTAGGACATCCTGACATCTATAAATGGCAATATATATTGATAATATCCGAGCATAAAGAGGGAAGCACTGCCCCTATCACTTTTCTCCCCCACCACTCCCCCTTTTTTTTAGTGGAATTAGTATTTCATGGAACAATTCAGTCAAAACACCAGTTTGGAAAAGTTTAAAAAAAGTATCTGTTCAGATTTTTTTAATTACCTAGGAGAAATAAACTCTTTTCTTTGGAATAAATTAGCTTGCACCACTGGTAAGCATTTACTTATTTAGAAAAAAAGACATGTTGACTACTGTAATTCAAAATTAAAATTAGGATGCTTTCCTAACATATAAGAACTTTATGAATAGCTTGCTCAAGGAACTAAAGCTGTAAAGTTTATAAGGGACTATTGGCTCTTCCCATATATGAAACTACAGGCTCAGAAAGAACAGCAAATGGAAAATCAGCAAATAATAAAGGTGGCATGTTCAAATCAGAATGGTGAATTTTTCAATAAATGGTTTCAGAATAACTATATAATCATCTGTTAGAATAACTGTGAAGTCAATTTTATCAAAATAAAGTTGAATTCCTACTTTACTCTTTCTGCCCAAATAAACTTAAGAGAGATCAAAGATTTAAATGTTAAAAACAAAACACAAGACAGAACTAGAGCAGAATACGGTTAAATGTATTTCTGCATTGGAAAAGCTCTTCAGAAGCCTTTTGGGAGGCCGAGACGGGAGGATTCCTTGAGCTCAGGCGTTCTTCTGGACCAGCCTGGGCAACACGGCAGAATCCCGTCTCTACCCAAATACAAAAATTAGCCAGGTGTGTGCCACACACCTGTAGTCTCACGTACTTGGGAAGCTGCGGTGGGATCGCTTGAGCCCGGGAGGGAGAAGTTGCAGGGAACTGAGATTGCCGCCACTGCACTCGGGCCTGGGTGACAGAGCCAGACCCTGTCTTTAAAAAAAAAAAAGCCTTTAAAGAGTAAACTTACATGGTAAGTTAAAATTTGCGCATGAGAAAAGTACCAAAATAAAAAAAGACAAACGTAAAAAAAACCTCCAACACATGACAAAAATACTAAATTTATTAAAGTACAATCAATAAACCACCAGTGGTTCAAAAAGAAAATGCAGCCGGATGCAGAGGCTCAACCTGCAATCTCAGCACTTTGGGGTTGGTGGGTGGGCAGGAGGATTGCTTGAGCCCAGGAGTCTGAGACTAACCTCAGCAATATGGCGAAACCCCGTCTCTACAAAAAATACAAAGAATTAGTGGGGCATGGTGGCATGCACCTATGGTCCCACCTACTTGGGAAGCTGAGGTGGCAGGATCACCTGAGCCCAGGAGGTTGAGCCATGATCGCACCACTGCACTCCAAACTGGGTGACAGGGCAAGACTCTGTGTCAAAAAAACATTTTTTAATAAAAATTTAAAAATAAAAAAAAGGGCAAAGCATATGAACAGTTTATAATTAACTTTTTAAAGACTCAAAAGAAATGCAAATATTGGCCGGGCACGGTGGCTCATGCCTGTAATAATCCCAGCACTTTGGGAGGCCAAAGCAGGCAGCTCACTAGGTCAGGAGAACAGAAACCATCCTGGCTAACAGGGTGAAACCCCATCTCCACTAAAAAACACAAAAAATTAGCTGGGCGTGGTGGTGGGCACCTGTAGTCCCAGCTACTCAGGAGGCTGAGGCAAGAGAATAGCGTGAACCTGGGAGGCAGAGCTTGCAGTGAGCAGAGATGGCGCCACTGCACTCCAGCCTGCATGACAGAGCAAGACTCCGTCTCAAAAACAAACAAAAAAAAGAAATGCAAATATAAACCAGAAAACAAAGATCCAACATTTTATAATTAAATTGCACTGGTGAGGGTAAGCAGAAAAAGATATTCTCATATTGTTAGCAAGGGCAAGTAGAAACTGATCAATGTGGCCAGGGGCGATGGCTCAGGCCTGTAATCCCAGCACTTTGGGAGGCTGAGGCGAGTGGATCACCTGAGGTCAGGAGTTCGAGACCAGCCCAACCAATATGGTGAAACCCCCGTCTCTACTAAAAATACAAAAATTAGCTGGGAGTGGTGGTGCACACCTGTAGTCCCAGCTACTCGGGAGGCTGAGACAGGAGAACTGCTTGAACCCAGGCAGCAGAGGTTGCAGTAAGCCAAGATCACACCACTGCACTCCACTCCAGCCTGGGTAATAGAGCAAGACTCCGTCTCAAAAAAAAAGAAAAAAAGAAACTGATCAACGTTTAATATAAATGTCCGATTCTGAATTCCACTTCTATTAACACCCTACTGCACATGTACACAAAGATATATAATGAGTCAGCTACTAGACTATAGTTACATAAGACTGAAAATAAATTAAATAACTATGTATAGCCAGATGTGGTGGTGCATGCCTATAGTCCCAGCTACTCAAGAGGCTAAGGTGGAAAGATCGCTTGACCCCAGGAGTTCAAGGATGCGGTGAGCTATAATCACACCACTGCACTCTACCCCGAGTAAGAGAACAAAACCCTGTCTCTATTTGTTAAAATTAAATAAATACATATAAAAAAGGACCAATTAAATAAATTATGGAATTTGTAGTCACTTAAAAAAAAAAAAAGGCATGGCAGGTAGCCACATGGAAAATAAAAAGTGATGGTGAGCAGGGAGACATGCAAACAACACATACACTTACTCTGCCATATACCCTTCTGGTTTGTTTGAATTTTTCTTATTCGTCTGAGAAATATTCACTCAGTGCCTAGTATGTGTCAGACATTGTAGTGGCCCTTGGGATACATAACAAAATAAAGAATTCTTTCAATGGGTTTACTTCTTGAAAAAAAAAAAAATTAAAAGAAATTTTAGGCCAGGCATGGTAGCTCATGCCTGTAATCCCAGCACTTTGAGAGGCCAAGGCATGAGGACCGCTTGAGGCCAGAAGTTCAAGAGCAGCTGAGCAACATAGTGAGACACTGGTCTCTACAAAAAATATAAAAATTAGCCAGGCATGGTGGTGTGTGCCTGCAGCCCTAGCTACTAGGCAGGCGGACTGCTTGAGGCCAGAAGTTCAAGACCAGCCTGGGCAACACAGTGAGACTCTGTCTCTACCAAAACAAAACAAAAACAACTTAGCCAGGCGTGGTGGCAGGCACCTGCAGTCCTAGCTACCTGGGACACTGAGGCAGGAAGATCTCTTGAGCCCAGGAGTTCAAGGTTGCAGTGAGCTAAGGCTGCGCCACTGCACTCCAGCCTGGGTGACAGTGAGACACTGTCTCTAAAAAAAAAGAAAGAAAGAGGCCAGGCTTGGTGGCTCACACCTGTAATCCCAGCACTTTGGGAGCCCGAGGTGGGCAGATCACGAGGTCAGGAGTTCGAGACCAGCCTGGCCAACATAGTAAAACCCCATCTCTATTAAAAATACAAAAATTAGCCAGGCATGGTGGTGCGTGCCTGTAGTCACAGATACTTGGGAGGCTGAGGCAAGAGAATCGCTTGAGACCAGGAGGCAGAGGCTGCAGTGAGCCTCCAGCCTGGGCAACAGAGTGAGACTTAGTCTCAAAAAAAAAAAAGAAATTTTACGTAAACTAGAATTTCAGTCTTGAGATACCGACTATAAAATGATAACGATTAACTAAGAAATAAAACTGATATGGGAACCAAAAAACAGTTCATCTATACTTGAACTGCTTTAGGTAATCAGTGATAACAAACACCCAAAACCACTCTGAATCATGGATTTGCTTTGGAAAAATGCCAGGGGATGGGATAGACAAAGAATCCTACAAGGTATGAGTTGTCGATTTCTTTTAGCCTTTCAGTATCACTGAAGAATAAACCTGATATAATCTCAAATTTGTTACTAAAACATATGGTCGTTTTTCTCTTGGTATTAAGATTTGTGATTTTTGCCCTCTGAAAGAGGGAAAGGATTGTAGACAAGCAGAATCACTGCCAAGGTTTACTGCTATAATTGTTTTTACTCTTGATACAAGGTCAATTTTGCATTTAGAGAGCTATTTAAATTACTTTAGTGTTCATAGATATTCTGGAGCTCAAGACCCACTTGCTCAAATTAACCTACCAAATCAGGTAAGGTATACCATATAATCTGTAAAAGAGACCAACTGAAGAGCATAGAATCTGATATCCAACCAAGCATAATCACAATAAGACGTATACATGTCTCCTTAATACATCAAATGAGCCAGCCCTTTAGTGATTCTCAATCCTGGCTCTGCATTAGAATCACCTAAGGGAAGGAGATTTTAAAAGATGTCCAAGCCTCGCCCTCAATCAACTAAACCTGAATCTCTAGGAATGTACATACTATCAATATTTTTTAAAAACTTTTCAAGTAATTCTAACGTATAGCAGTCCTAGTTGAAAACCATGGCTCATCGGGTGCAGTGGCTCACGCCTGTAATCCCAGCATTTTGGGAGGCCAAGGCAGGTGGATCACTTCAGGTCAGGAGTTCAAGACCAGCCTGACCAACACAGTGACACCCCGTCTCTACTAAAAATACAAAAATTAGCAGGCGTGGTGGTATGTGCCTGTAGTCTCACACACTCAGGAGGCTGAGGTGGGAGAAACGCTTGAACCTGGGAAGCAGAGGTTGCAGTGAGCCGAGATTACGCCACAGCACTCCAACCTGGGTGACAGAGGAGACTCCATCTCAAAAAAAAAAAAAACTATGCTCTCTAGTTGGTTGCTCCTTTGGTGCCACAGAATCTTTCTGCAGTCTAGTGAAACCTATGAGCCTTTTCTCAGAATAATATTCTTAAATACATAAATTCTGAGGGATTTCCAAGGAAAAAGCATGTGTGTGTGTACTGTTGCTGTGTTTTTTTTTTTTTTTTTTAAAGAGACAGGCTCTCTCTACATTGCTGATCTAGAGATCCTGGGCTCCAGTGATCCTCCTGTCTCAGCCTCCCACGTAGCTGGGACTACAGGCGTGTACCACCGCTCCTTGCTCCAGAGGTTTTTTATAGTAATATATACTTAATACATCAAATAACAAGCTTTAGGGGCCAATTCACTACATGAGTGATGAGTGCTGCTGCTAACACTATTACCTCTGTAAATTCTGGCCTACATTAATAATAAAAGGGAATGCTCAATTTCAGTTAGCGATTAGTGAAAGTCTTTTCCCCCATCCAATTTCACAGAATCCCTAAAATGCTATCCAGATACCTGGGGAATTAGCAGAAGTATCAGTTGCATCACTAAATGTTTTTTTCTGGCCTAGCTCCTCAGTAGTCAAATGTTCGTAACACAATCTATACATGTAATTCTCAATCAACCGCATTAATTAACAATGGAAGTTAACCAGAATGCTCAAGAGCATATCCTGCTGGTTATGGTCACATTTAATTCTCACAATAAAAAGCCTTTTAACATAACAGCTATGAACCACTTGGGTAGCCAACGCTGAGAGTGAAGCATTTTTGTTTTCTGGCCTGGTTACCATAATGCTACTGGGCAAAGAAAAACTGAACAGTTTTGTAGTACCCAAAAGAGAGACTGGGCCTCCATAAGGAATGAAGTTGTATTATTACCTGAATCTGTTGCCAGAACAGGTCATTTTAAGAAAACAGGCTGGGCAGAGTGGCTCCCAGTACTTTGGAAGGCCGAGACGGGCAGATCACTCGAGGTCAGGAGTTCAAGACCAGTCTGGCCAAAATGGTGAAACCCCATCTCTACTAAAAATACAAAAATTGGCCAGGCATGGTGGCTTACGCCTGTAATCACAGCACTTTGGGAGGCCGAGGCAGGTGGATCACCTGAGGTCAGGAGTTCAAGACCAGCCTGGCCAACATGGTAAAACCCTGTCTCTACTAAAAATACAAAAATTAGCTGGGCATGGTGGTACACGCCTGTAATCCCAGCTACGTGGGAGGCTGAGGCAGGAGAATTGCTTGAATCCAGGAGGCAAAGGTTGCAGTGAGCCGAGATCATGCCATTGCACTGCAGCCTGGGCGACAGAGCCAGACTCCGTCTTGAAAACAAAACAAACAAACAACAACAACAACAACAACAAAACAAAAATTAGCGGGGCGTGGTGGCAGGCCCCTGTAATCCCAGCTACTTGGGAGGCTGAGACCGGAGAATTGCTTGAACCCGGGAGGCGGAGGTTGCAGTGAGCCAAGATCATACCACTGCAGTCCAGCCTGGGCAACAGATGGAGACTCTGTCTCAAACTAAAAAAAAAAAAAAAAAAAAGAAAAGAAAAGAAAAGAAAACAGGGCAAGTTTCCAATGCCCTTCTGTAACAAACTGCTTAGTGTAGCAAGAACAGCTGTCCCATGCTTATGCATCCCAAAAACTTATTACTATCAAAAACTATCAAAATCCAGTTTTGCTTCTGAAATAATAATCTATAATCCTAATATCATTTTTCAGGCGATGTTAATGGGGAACAGGCAGGGACCCCAAATCAAAGGAGTAGAGCAAAAACTGGACTAGTTATCAAGACATACATATTACCAATGACTTAATTTTATCTTCTCTGTGAATAACACAACCATGTACAACTGGCTAAAAGAAAGAAGGTAGGGGGGCCAGGCACAGTGGCTCACGCCTATAATCCCAGCACTTTGGGAGGCTGAGGCAGGTGGATCACTTGAGCTCAGGAGTTGGAGACCAGCCTGGCAACATTGCGAAACCCCATCTCTACAAAAAACGCAAAAATTAGCTGGGTGTGGTGGCAGGTATCTGTAATCCCAGCTACTTGGGAGGATGAGGTGGGAGGATGGCTTGAGCCCAGGAGGTGTTGGTTGCAGTGAACCAAGATCACACCACTGCATTCCAGCCTGGGCAACAGGGCCAGACCCTGTCTCAAAAAAAAAAAAAAGGTTTGAAAGTAGAATAAGCATATTATGTATTTAAGCTTTTATAATTTCTTTTTTAGTACTGGCTTGAGACATGATTCACATACATACAATTCACCCATCTGAAGTGTATAACTCAATAGTTTTTATTTATGAATATATTCAAGTTTACAGAACCATCACACATTTAAAACATTTTATCACCCCAAAGAGAAATCTGTACCTGTTAGCAGTCACTCCCATTTCCCTCCAATCCCTAAGCCCTGGGCAACTACTAATCTATTTTGTCTCTAGGGATGTGCCCATATTTAATGTAATCATACAATATGTGTTCTTTTTGTTTCTAGTTTTCTTTTTTCTTTGAGACAGGATCTCACTCTGTCACCCAGGCTCGAATGCAGTGGCACAATCATGGCCCACTGCAGCCTCAACCTCCTGGGCTCAATCAATCCTCCCACCTAGACCTCCCGATAATGGACTACAGGCATGTGCCACCATGCCCAGCTAAATTTTATAATTTATAGAGATGGGGTTTTGCCATATTGTCCAGGCTGGTCTTGAACTCCTGGGCTCAAGCAATCCACCTGCCTCGGCCTCTCAAAGTGTTGGGATTACCACCGTGAGCCACCATGACTGGCGTTGTTTTGGCTTTCAGTTAGCGTGTTTTCAAAGTTCATGTTTTTGCATATACTAAGTACTTTACTTTTGACAATATTCCATTATGTGCATATCCTACATTTGTTTATGTATCAGCCGATGGACTTTGGATTGTTTCCAGTTTTGGCTATTATGAATAATGTTACTATGAACATTAGTGTGTAAGATTTCTTTGTGGAGTTCATTTTGTGTGTTTTCCTTTTTCTTGGATATATACCTAGAAATGGAATGGCTAAGTAATGTGGTAACTCTTATGTTTTACCTTCTGAAAAACTACCAGACTTTAAAGGGGCTGTACTATTTTACATTTCCAGTATAAGGGGTTCTAATTTCTCCATATCCTTACCAACATTTGATATTATCTTTTTTATTACAGCCATCCTTGTGGGTCTGAAGTGATATCTCATTGTGGTTTTGATTTACATTTCTCTGATGGCTATCAAAGTAGAGCGTCTTTTCATTTTCTTATTGGCCATTTGTACATCTTCTTTGGAGAAATGTCTGTTCAAATATTTTGCCCATTTAAAAACTGGACTTATCAGGAGTTTGAGACCAGCCTGGCCAACATGGTGAAACCTTGTCTCTACTAAAAATACAAAAAATTAGCCAGGCATGGTGACAGGCACCTGTAATCCCACCTACTCAGGAGGCTAAGGTGGGAGGATCCCTTGAGCCGGCGGGGAGGGGCAGAGGTTCCACTGAGCCAAGATTGTGCCGCTGCACTCCAGCCTGGGCGACAGAGCGAGACTATGTCTTGAAAAAATAGAAATAAATAAAATAAAAACTGGACGTATTATTATTACTTTTTAGAGGTATAGTTTTGCTATGTTGCTCAGGTTGGACTTGAACTCCTGGGTTCGATCAATCCTCCTGCCTCAGCCTCCCAAATAGCTGGGACTACAGGCGTGCACCACCGCACCTGGCTGGGTTTTTTCATTAATGAATTTTTACATGTTGGAGTTACAAATCCCTTATCAGACATGATTTACAAAAACTGTATCCTATTCTGTGGGATGCCTTGCCACTTTCCATGTTTAACCGTCTGTTATGTGAAGCTAACTAACTCAGAGAAATAGAACTTACAATCTTGGCTTCACAGACATGATGTACTATTCCAACTATTCTCAAACATTTTGTAAAGGATTGCTTCACATTCTTAAAAACTGAGGAGCTTGGGCCGGGCGCGGTGACTCACGCCTGTAATCTCAGCACTTTGGGAGGCCGAGGTGGGCGGATCACAAGGTCAGGAGTTCGAGACCAGCCTGGCCAATTTGGTGAAACCCTGTCTCTACTAAAAATACAAAAAATTAGCTGGGTGTGGGCACATGCCTGTAGTCCTAGCTACTTGGGAAGGTGAGGCAGGAGAATCGCTTGAACCCGGGAGGTGGAGGTTGCAGTGAGCTGGGATCGCACCACTGCACTCCAGCCTGAGCAAGAGTGAGACTCCGCCTCCAAAAAAAAAAATAACAATAATAATTGAGGAGCCCAGAGGGATTCTATCATTACTCACATAAGAAATTAAAACAAAAAATTAAAGTATTTAATTCACTTAAAAATAATAAATTCCTTAAATATGAATATAAATATTTTACTGAAGGAAATTTTCCAAAATAAAAAAAAAAGTCAAAAGAATGGCACCATTTTACATTTTCATGATCTTTTAAATGTCTGGCTGAATAGAAGACATTATCTGCTTCTTTCAATCTGTTACAATATATTGTTTTAGATGAAAAATATGAAAAAATTTTAGCCTCACAGTTACGTAGTTGGAAAAGGGAGGAAAGACCATTTTTAACAGCCTTTACATACAATTGTGGATAGGTGATGTAGCCTCTGGAAAGCCCTATGAGTTATGCTTTATTGAAACTCCTAACCACTTTCTTTCTATATGAGCTCATAACTTTTATTAGGAGGTTGTTAATGGGAAGGTGGGATGTGAAGAGGTGACAGACACTATCATGTTAATGACTGAAATAATATAATTTAAGGCTGGGCACAGTGGGTCACAACTGTAATCTCAGCACTTTGGGAGGCTGAGGTGGGAGGAGTCCTTGAGGCCAGGACGTTGAGGCTGTGGTGAGCTATGACCACGCCAATGCACTGCAGCCTGGGCAACAGAGCAAGATCTCATCTCTAAAAAAAATAGTAATAATAACAATAATAATAATAATCTAATTTCTTCCATTTCGACCATGCAGGTAAAACAGACAAAAAAAAAAAAAAAGATAATTCTCTTTCTCCAAATAGCTACTTTCATGATAAATTAGAAGGGTGTTATATTAGGAGCCATACTGAAATTAAGTTAAAGTAGGGATCAGTTAAAGTGATAACACAAAAGTATGAATAGAGGGGGAGAAAGATGGTAGACTGAAAGATTTAAGACGATGTAAGCTTTTTACTATGACCAACAGAAAAAGCAGAGTTGAGCCTCAACCCTGGTTTTATAATGAGTATTTCTCGCTATTCAGGGTAATAACTAAATATATGGGGGTGGGGAGCAGGTGGGCAGGAAAAATCAGTAAAATACCATCCTCAAATATCTGCCATTTTTTCATCCACTTATTTATCAAGAATATATTTTAAAACAACCAGCTATCATCTAACTCTGTGGTCTGCAAGCTTTTATTGACATAAAAACCACTGTGGTACCTGTTTCAAACGAAGATTCTCAGCCCCACTGAACAGTTAGGTTTGAAATCAGAGTCTACGTATCTATACTTTTATAACGCACCTAATTATGACATAAATGGGCCATGGGCTCCACTTTAAGAAATATGTACCACCTCATCTATCTGTTCCACAAATGTTTTCCAAATGTCACGTTTCATTAAAAATAAGGTGGCAACAAACCTGTCATTCCAAGTGAATTTTTTGCTAAAATATTAAGAAAACTGAATATACTATATATTTGAAGTCTTAAGTCTCTCTCTGTGGTTAACTTTTTTTCAAAATTAAAAGTAGACCGGAGTAGCACTCCGTAAGACTTTCTTTTTTTTTTTTTTTTTTTTTTTGAGATGAAGTCTCACTCTGTCACCTAGGCTGGAGTGCAGTGGCTGTACCTTGGCTCACTGCAACCTCCGACTCCCGGGTTCAAGTGATTATCCTGCCTCAGCCTCCCAAGTAGCTGGGATTACAGGTATGCACCACCACACTCAGCTAATTTTTGTATTTTTAGTAGAGACGGAGTTTCACCATACTAGCCAGGCTGGTCTCAAACTCCTGACCAAGTGATCCGCCAGCCTCAGCCTCCCGAAGTGCTGGGATTACAGACAGGCGTGAGCCACGGTGCCGTGCTGAGACTTTCATAGAGGAGTAACCTAACTGATTCCATTCATATGCCCAGATAATAAAGAACTATATGTGACAGGTGTCACAATGAGACCGGATATTAGGACCAGATGTCAGCTTAGTTCTGTGTTCCTTTACCAATGCAACCAAACCCTACTTCATGTTTGTTGTGAATGAAACTGAACATGTATCCTACAATACAAAACTAATCCCTCCAAATCATCCATAGATTAAAAATCTAAACATACAAACAACTCAAAAACTTAAAAAAAAAAAGATCTTGGGCCGGGCATGGTGGCTCACACCTGTAATCCCAGCGCTTTGGAAGGCCAAGGCGGGCGGATCATGAGGTCAGGAGATCAAGACCATCCTGGCTAACACAGTGAAACCCCATCTCTATTAAAAATATAAAAAATTAGCTGGGCGTGAGGGCGTGGTGGCGGGCACCTATAGTCCCCGCTACTAGGGAGGCTGAGGTAGGAGAATAGCGTGAACCCAGGAAGCGGAGCTTGCAGCGAGCCGTGATTGCGCCACTGTGCTCCAGCCTGGGCGAAAGTGCAAGACTCTGTCTCGAAAAAATAAAAATAAAAAAATTAAAAAAAAAAAAAAGATCTTGGCTTAACATATTAGTTCAAATAATTATATTTACCATTATCTGCTTAGTAAACTTGCATATTCATCCCCTAGGAAACAAATAGCTACAAAATATAAATTAAAATCTTAACCGTTTGGAACTTAAAAGATGAGACTTCTTTCAAATATGAATAATCCAGATTTAATACACTAAATAAACTAAGTCAAACATTAGAAAAACATTAATTAGGACACACAGAAGCTTTGCCCTTCTGATTTTATTCAATATTTACTATGTATCCTAAGTTGTCCATTAATCTAAAGATAGTTTAAACAACTGCCAACTCAAATCCCTTTTTTAGCCCAATTCTCACACCATTACCAACTGTCCAACAAAACAAAACAAAAAGACTCAAATTCACAGGTAGGTCCTATCTAAAGAGAAAGATTCAGAGACATGGTAGAAAAGCTTAAAATCACCGTCACCAAATCGAAGATTTAAAAAAAAAAGCTTAAAATCATGAATTGGTATGGGTAATTGTCCAATAGGTAAAAACACCCAAATACAGATTTTGCCCTTCTGAAGGTCTATCTGGGATGTAAATGCCTACATTCCCTGAAATAATGTTGAAGGAATGCAGTATCACCTAACACAGTACCTTTCTGCTGTATCTCTAAGAAAAACCCAATTCTCATTCTTTAAGCACAGAGCAACTTCTCTTAGGAACAACTGTCCCCAAACAGAATATTTGATAATGCTCCAGTTTCCTAAGAAATATCAACAATAAAGATCAAATCAATTTGCCTGCCCAAAACTGTTACACCAAACAAGCATCACTAAAAATAGGAGGCAGAAAACTAGGAAGGGCTGTTACAGAAAGATTTTGGAAAAAATAAATCCAAAAAAACACATTGTCCAACACACATAGTTGGCTCTTTCTCTGCCTCTTCTAACCCCTACACATATATGCACCTTGACTAAAATTGGCGATACTGTTACTTCTAAACAGCTTAAGTACTAATGTTTACCTAACGAAATAAACCAGGTTTCAGGTTTCAATGCTGTGGGTGTTTCAACTTTTTCTTTCCTTATTAATAATAAGTATATAATAGGACACATACTCTTCATTATTTTCTAAATCTTCCCAAAATTATTTTTCACTAAAAACACGTATTTATGAGCCTAAATGCTCCTTTGTTAAGAACTACCAGCAATTAATTTGCGCTTCTTAGAATCATGTAGCTTTTCCAAGCTGAGGATCATTTGGCTTGTATTTTAGGCCTTCCAAATTCTAGGATAAGTTATACATTATTTAAAAGGTGAAATATGGCTGGACTCACACCTGTAATCCAACAGTTTGGAAGGCTGAGGCAGGAGGATCACTTAAGTCCAGGAGTTCAAGACCAGCCTGGGAAACACAGTGAGACCTCGTCTCTACCTAAATAGTAAATAAATAATTTTTTTTAAAAGATGCAAACTTAATCCATTCATTTACTGAATACCTTTAAGCATCAAAATATTATTTCTTAGGTCTTTAAGACATAAAGATGAATAACATCATCTCTTCAACTAAAGAAGTTCAAAACCCAATGGAAAATGTCTAAATAACAGCATATTAAATGCCTTAAGAGTAGTGCACAAGGTTAAATAGACCTAAGAATGAGATCAAAAGTTGAATCAGGCATTAAAAAAAACAAACACCACAGGCTGGGCGCAGTGGCTCACGCCTGTAATCCCAGCACTTTGGGAGGCTGAGGCAGGCAGATCACTTGAGGTCAGGAGTTCAAGACCAGCCTGGTCAACATGGTGAAACACCATTTCTACTAAAAATACAAAAAAATTAGCCGGGCATTGTGGCGTGTGCTTGTAATCCCAGCTACTCAAGAGGCTGAGGCAGGAGAATTGCTTGAACCTGGGAGGCGGAGGTTGCAGTGAGCCGAGACCGTGCCACTGCACTCCAGCCTGGGCAACAGAGCAAGACTCCATCTCAAAAAAACAAAAAACAAACACAAAAAAACAAAACCATGAAATAAATAATACAGCCATAATTCCACACAGAAATCATATGTTTGTTAGGGGGGTAAACCTATATGCAAATAGTTTTTTCACCATTAAACTGGCAAAAACAATAAGCAAGGAGCTTCAGAAGAGATCCTTGAACACTATAAGGTAATTCCAATAGCTCTCTACATGCAAAATTGAACTTCCCTACTAGAGTTGAAAAAAAAATCACAGCAATAAACCTTTAGCAGTGATTTTGCTTGTCTGCAATAATTTCCCTCTGTTAGGGGGCACAAATCACAAATCTTAGCACCAAGAGAAAAATGACTATCCATATATTTTAGTAATAAATTTAAGATAGTATCAGGTTTATTCTACAAACTTGAACTTCAATGCTACTAAAAGGCTAAATCTACACCTGCATCTTGTAGGACTCTTTGTCCACCCCATCCCTTGGCATTTTTCCAAAGCAAATCCATGATTCAATGGTTTTAATTTTTTTCTTATTATTCTTTAGTCTCATTGAGTTTATTTTTCTCATCCATGATTTCAGGTTATTTTGGATACTCTCTTTTCCTCCAGATTTTCAATATTGTCTTAAATATCAAGCAAGGTACAGCTCATTCATATTTTCCATCCTTAAGGTGTTATTTAATGGTTATTTTAGTTGAAGCTGAATACAGTATCTAGGATTTGCTTCGAAGTAATGGGGGTGAGAGAAGCAAATGAAGTCATGGAGGAAACAAGATTAGCCATAAATTGAAGCTCTATGACAGGTACTTCATATATTATACTGTTTTTCTTACATGTTTGAAATGTATTATTAAAAAGTTAAAGAAAAGGCTATATGAAGATGACTTCCTTGTTGATAATCAGATGTCTAAATTGCCTTTCAGACTTAAGGAAAAGATATAAGAACCACCAAAAAGGTTTGGACAAGTTGAGTGTGCAAAAGAAAAATGGCTATCACTGATACTAACACACTAAGAGAAATCCATGAATCCATAGCGATACTTAATCTTTAGGAAGAAAAAAAGTCTTTTTTGCAGAAAGTATGAGCCAGTAAACAGACACAGACCAACAGAATTGTGGGTTTTAAAAACAAAACAAAACCACCATTTGCTACTTCCAATGTAAGAGCTGATTTAGTCAAGATTTATCAATTGATAACTAGGTATAAGGTGATTTTAAAGAAAACGGTTATCAACTCACAGATTATTAACTGCAAAGGGGAACATGACCCTTAACAATGAGATCACCCTAAACCAAGTGATCAAACTTAACCATCCTAACAGAACCCAGCAGAAGTACCTGCTAATGTAATGATATAATGTTAAGTATTCTATCCAAAAATACTTAACCCAAATATCAAGGCTGAGTATAGACCTAACTGTAAAGTTTTCAGGAAATACAGATGAAGGGACAAGTTAAATGACATCATCAACCCCCAAACCAAAAGCAAGCAAGCAAACAAACAACAAAAAACAAATACACCCAGAAAAGCAGTGTTAAGTGTCCTTGACACTTCGAATAGACAACAGCCCCAGGGGAGAAGAATGGTGAGACTACTTAAGAGACAGAAGTAAATGATTCAATATGTAAATCTAGATTGATTCTGGTTAAAAAAAAAATCACATTCTTGGGACAAATGGGGAAATTTAAAGAACTAGATTTTAGAAATACTATTTTCTTGGGTGGGGAAATGGTATGGTGGTTATGTAACAACATTTTGCTCTTATTTATAAGAGAATGCTGAAATACTTGGGGCTGCAATGTGTCAAAATACTTTCAAATAAACATGCGTGGACCAGGCGTGGTGGCTCGTGCCTGTCTGTAATCCCAACACTTGGGGACACTGAGGTGGGTGAATCGCTTGAGCCCAGGAGTTCCAGACCAGGCTGGGCAACATGGTGAATTCCTGTCTCTACAAAAAAAATACAAAAATTAGGCCAGGTACGGTGGCTCACGCCTGTAAATCCAGCACTTTGGAAGGCAGAGGTAGGCGGATCACTTGAGGTCAGGAGTTCGAGACCAGCCTGGGCAACGTGGCAAAATCCCCGTCTCTACTTAAAATACAAAAATTAGCGGGGCATGGTGGTGGGCGCCTGTAATCCCAGCTACTGGGGTGGCTGAGGCAGGAGAATCGCTTGAACCGGGAGGCGGAGGCTGCAGTAAGGCGAAATCGCGCCACTGCACTCCAGTCTGGGCGACAGAGCAAGGCTCCATCTCAAAAAAAAAAAAAAAAAAAAAAAAAAAATTAGCTGGGCATGGTGGCGCGCGCCTGTACTCCCAGCTACGGAGGAGGCTGAGGTGGCAGGATCACAGAGCGCAGGGAGGTCGAAGCTATGGTGAGCTGTGATGGCGTCACAGCACTCTAGTGTGAGTGACAAAGACTCTGTTCTCAATCTATCAGCATGGGGAGATAAAGCAAATATGGCAAGGCTTTCAGCTGTTGATTCCAGGCGAAGAGTTGTCCTACAGGTGTTCACTGCACTTTTCTTTCAACTTTTCTCTATGTTCTAAACTTTGCACAATAAAACCTTTGGGAGAAATTATTTTTCTATAAATTTTCACCACCATCTGTCCCACTGAAACACCACAGTTCTAAAACATTCAAGAGGTCATGGTAACATTTCCGTGTCTTTGTAATTTTAGATAAATTCTAAGAATTAACAATGAATTTCGAAAACTTTCAATGAAACCTCAGTTCATTAGTCCTTCACTTTCAGATAACAAATACTAGATCAGAAAAGGGGTAAACAGTTTTGATACAGTAATTTTAAGACTTTGCATGCTTGGGCATGCTAACACTATGTAAAATGTAAATAGTGCGAAGATTTCTGGACTGAAACCAGTCCTCGGGCAAACACAAAACAATTTAATCAAACTGCCGACATAATGAAATCTACAGTCTTACAGACTATGCAATAGAACGCTCCTATTTTGCCTCATCTCTGCCAACCTCCAATAACATCTTCCACGTTATAAGCTAGGGAACCTGAAAAACGAAAACCTAAGTGCATGTCGTTGCTATGGCAATGGGAAATTTCAGGAAATTGAGACTGCAGGCTACCTAGCCTCCATTTTAGAAACTGTATTTATCTAAACACACCAGGACTTAGATCGAAAAACACATTTAATGGCATTTTTCATAACTATTTAGCTTCCTCTTTCACACTAAAAGGTAAATACTATCCTACAAAATTCTGAATACAAAGAGCAAAAGAAACAAATCACACTGATCTAACCTAAAAGTGTGAATTTTAAAATATTTAGTTGTCACTCATATTTACTATTAAAACAGATGCTTTTATTTACAGTGGCCAAAACAGACTTCTCATTTTCAACTTATACCTGCAATGTTTATGTAGCTGGAAAAATGAAAACGAAATGTGGCTAAAAGAAAAGAAAACGAAAGAAAGCCACAAAATTCCCAAAACCTCAGCATAACTTGCTTCTTTCTTCACTCGCTCTCATTAAGTCTTAATTCTCCAGATTAGCTTTGTCTCAAATATTTCTCAAACTAGTAACCTATTTCTGGGTACAGTATATTTGGCGGGGTAAAAGAAACACTGTCAAGTTTTTCTAAAACGTCGGGTGCACGTTAAAATAATTCCTATCCACTCTAATACCAAAACGATATCAAAGGAAAGCATCCCATCTGGAGTAGTCCCATGAATCTAAATAGGACGAAGCAGCCTACCGCTATTGTCTAAATCAAGTATTTACTCGTATTCATGCCTAAGAGAGAGAAGTAAAAAAAAAAAAATTAAATCTTAGATCTTGCTCCCCATTCCCACCACTCTTCTATATACCCTGTCCCCCGGGTTCACTAGACCCAATTCCTTCCTCAGCCGAACATGTCTGGAGCAGTCGGAGGAACAGACGTGGAGAAGAGGTCGCCACGAGGCCCCACCACTCTCCTTCCTCACCTGCTCCGTGGCTCCGTCTCCTGACATGGCCTCAGCTGATTACAACGTGCGCACTGACCGTCGATGGGAAGCTAGAAAAGAAAAATTAAACTAAAAACCACCCCCAAATCAGTAAAGTTACCCCCTGCCCAGCTGAGCCAGACCGCCAACACCAATCGCCACCGCCCACTCAAATATGAATTAAAATGGCTGCGCCCCTGCCGGCCGAGGAGGAGGTGTGTGGCTTCCGCATTAACTTCCGGGGCAGTGGGCGGGGCTAATTTCGCGACTCTGGTTATTCCGAGCGTGCAGAAAGCAGCGAGATCCCGGGGCGGGCCCAATTCCTGGGCTGACGTCACTACCCTGGCTTGGAGAGGCTGTTGCTGAGCCGGCTCCAACCGGCTGGAAGGCGGGAAGCTGTTTCGCCTGGAGGCTCGCGCGCTTTTTGGAATTCAGTTATCAAGCTTTAGAGCCTGGCTACTCACAGTTGAAGCCTGATTGCAGGTCAGCAATGCTAAACGTTAAATGCCTCTTATATTTAGGGGATAAGGACTCCGTGGAGGTTTTCTCTGGTCCCAGCTCCTGCTTTTTACTTTTCTTGGGGGTGGGAGGGATAGATCAAGCCCCCATTAATTTTTACTGCCACCGTCGACTCTTGTGTAGAAAGCTTTGAAGTCTGAGACCTGGGTTTTCAGCTCAACATCTCAGCTTGGTTCCTTGACTGCAAAGTAGGTATAATTGTTTGTAGCCCAGACTGCTTGGATTTTAACGAAGATAAGTAACTCTGGTAATTAAACTTCGTACCTCAGCTTTCTGGCCTATAGATGGGAATAATAATAGTACCTGCAAGTGAAATAAATTATACATAGAAAAGTGTTAGAACAGTACCTGGCATTAAGATTAAATGAGATTGACTGGGCGCGGTGGCCCACGCCTGTAATCCCAGCAGTTTGGGAGGCCAAAACGGATGGATCATTTAAAGTCAGGAGTTCTAGGCCAGGTGCGGTGGCTCACGCCTGTAATCGCAGCACTTTGGGAGGCTGAGGCGGGCGGATCACAAGGTCAGGAGATGAGACCATCCTGGCTAATACGGTAAAACCCCGTCTCTACTAAAAATACACACACACACAAAAAAAAATTAGCCGGGCGTGGTGGCGGGCGCCTGTAGTCCCAGCTACTCCGGATGCTGAGGCAGGAGACTGGCGTGAACCTGGGAGGCGGAGCTTGCAGTGAGCCGAGATCGCGCCACTGCACTCCAGCCTGGGCGGCAGAGCGAGACTCCGTCTCAGAAAATAAATAAATAAAGTCAGGAATTCAGGACCAACCTGGCCAACTTGGTGAAATCTCGTCTCTACCAAAAATACAAAAAAAGTAGCCGGGCGTGGTGGTTTGCGCCTGTAGTCCCAGTTACTCGGGAAGCTTAAGCAGGAGAATCGCTTGAACCCGCGAGGCGGAGGTTGCAGTGAGCCGAGATTCCAGCCTGGACTACAGAGCGAGACTCCGTCTCAAAAAAAATAAAAAATAAAAAATTAAATGATACTAAATCTTCTCAAACTGCTCTTCCATTTAAGCGTCATCGTTAGATGTCTGCAAGCATTTCTCGCCTACGGGGGTCCAATGCCCTAAAATAACCTAGTGAACTGTTCCCAGACTCGCCTTATTCTTTTAGGTCTCCTTTCCTCTGCTCAAACTTACACTTACTCCCTTTCCACAGGCTGAAATCTTACCCTTAAAATAATCAGACACATGAGCAAAAGATATGTATTAACAGATGTTCATTGCACCATCCAGCAATGGAGGACTGGTTAAAAATATCACAAGATTTATCTCTGCAATGGAATATCACACAGCAAACTGATGCTAATGTACGATGACTGACAGAAAGGCAACCACCGTATTAAATGAAGAAAAGCAGAATATGAAAGTGTTTTACGTATATATACTTACCACTTTAGCATCCTAATCTGAAAATCCAAAATCTGAAATACTCCAATGAGCATTTCCTTTGAGAGTCATGTCAGTGCTTAAAAAGTTAGATTTTGGAGCGTTTTGAGTTTTGGAACATTTAGGTTTTTTTTTTTTTTTCTCTTGAGGCAGAGTCTTGCTCTGTCGCCCAGGCCGGAGTGCAGTGGTGCGATCTCGGCTCACTGCACCCTACACCTCCCAGGTTCAAGCGATTCTCCTGCCTCAGCCTCCTGAGTAGCTGGGATTACAGGCGTGCGCCACCACGCCCGGCTAATTTTTGTATTTTTTCTTTTTCTTTTTTTTTTTTTGAGACGGAGTCTCGCTCTGTCGCCCAGGCTGGAGTGCAGTGGCACAATCTCGGCTCACTGCAAGCTCCCAAGCTCCGCCTCCTGGGTTCACTCCACTCTCCTGCCTCAGCCTCCCAAGTACCTGGGACTACAGGCGCCTGCCACCGCCCTGGCTAATTTTTTTGTATTTTTAGTAAAGAAGGGGTTTCACCATGTTGGCCAAGCTGGTCTGAACTCCTGGCCTCAAGTGATCCACCCAACTCGGCCTCCCCAAGGATTGGGATGACAGGCGTGAGCTAACGCGCCTGGCCCAGATTTTTGAATTAGGGATACTCAACCTGTTATAAATATATATATATATATATATATATATATATATATATATATATATATATATTTTTTTTTTTTTTTTTTTTTTTTTTTTTTTTGACACTGAGTCTCGCCCTTTCACCCAGGCTGGAGTGCAGTGGTGCGATCTCGGCTCACTGCAAGCTCTGCCTCCTGGGTTCAAGTGATTCTCGTGCCTCAGCCTCCTTAGTAGCTGGGATTACAGGCTCCCACCACCACACCGGGCTAATTTTTGTATTTTTAGTCGAGACAGGATTTCACCATATTGGTCAGGCTGGTCTTGAACTCCTGACCTCAGGTGATCCACTGGCCTTGGCCTCCCAAAGTGCTGGGATTACAGGCGTGAGCCACCACATCCAGCCTCAACCTGTATATAGCTTAAAAAAATTAAAAGTGGTTATATCTACATTGTGTGTCACATAAATTTACTCTTTTTATCTGTTTTCTGATTTTTCTTTATTGAACTGATGTAAGAACAACAAAGTCTTAAAACAGTATTCATACTCTTTCAAAGTTTGTCTCAAATGCCATTTTTTCCAGTTTGTTGTTTTGTTTTGACAGGGTCCCCCTCTGTCGCCCAGGCTGGAGTGCAGTGGCACGGTCTTGGCTCACTGCAACCTCTGCCTCTCAGGTTCAAGCGATTCTCCTACCTCAGCCTTCTGAGTAGTTAGGATTATGGGCGCCTGCCACCATGCCTGGCTAATTTTTGTATTTTTAGTAGAGACAGGGTTTCACCATGTTGCCCAGGCTGGTCTTGAACTCCTGGACTCAAGCAATCCGTCTGCCTTGGCCTCCCAAGGTGTTGGGATTACAGGTGTAAGCTATGGCGCCTGGCCCTCATTTTTTCCAGTGTTTTTAACAAATATAGAGATAAAAGTTTAAATAATAATGCAATGAATACCTGTATAACTACCACCTTGATTAACATTTTAGTGTGTTTGCTTTATATGTATGTATTTACGTACATAGTTTTTTTTTTGGCAGGGGGAGCCAGATTATTTTTTATTTTTATTTTTCTGCCTAGAGTCTTTTAGTATTACAGTTTGAGGTTTTGTTCACAGAATAATATGAAAATAAATTACAGACATTGTGACAATCCCAAAATGGTCAATTTGTATTTTCTGTGAATAATGACATTCTCTTCCATATTCACATAAGATATAAGGGGGCTGAGTGTGGTAGCTCACGCTTGTAATCCCAGCACTTTGGGAGGCCAAGAGGGGAAGATCACTTGAGCACAAAAGTTTGGGACCAACCTGGGCAACATCGCATGACCCCTCTACAAAAAATTTTAAAAATTAGCTGATTTTGGTGTCGCATGCCTGTGGTCCCAGCTGCTTGGGAAATGGGAGGATTGCTTGAGCCCAGGAGTTAAAAGTTGCAGTGAGCTATGATCACACCACTGCACTCCAGCCTGGGCAACAGAGAGAGACCCTGTTTCAAAAAATGTAAATTGATGATTAGAAAAAAATCATAAGTAGGCCAGCCACGGTGGCTCACGCCTGTAATCCCAGCACTTTGGGAGGCTGAGGTGGGTGGATCACAAGGTCAGGAAATCGAGACCATCCTGGCTAACACGGTGAAACCCCATCTCTACTAAAAAATACAAAAAAAAAAATTAGCTGGGCGTGGTGGGGGGGGCGCCTGTAGTCCCAGCTATTGGGGAGGCTGAGGCAGGAGAATGGCGTGAACCCGGGAGGTGGAGCTTGCAGTGAGCTGAGATCTCGCCACTGCACTCCAGCCTGGGAGACTGAGTGAGACTCCATCTCAAAAAAAAAAAAAAAAGAAAAAAATCATAAATAGAAAGATTTCCTCACAATAGCAATAACAACTATAAAACATCCAGGAACAGCTCTTTTCCTGGTCACCTATGACTTCCCAATTGCCAAATGCACTGGTCAGTTTTAGTCCTCTTTATCTTATGGGATTCTACCAGCAGTATTTGATGAAGTTGATCACTCCCTTCTTTTGGAACCTTTTTTTAAAAACACACACACACACAACAAAGTCTTAACAGTGAAAATAAAAATAAATAAATAAAACAAGGTCTTGCTTTCACTCAGGCTGGAGTGCAGTGGCACAAATCATGGCTCCCTGTGGCCTCAAGCTCAAGCAATCCCCCTGCCTCAGCCTCCCAAGTGACTAGGACTACAGGCATGCACTGCTGTGCCCAGCTAATTTTTAAGTTTTTTTGTAGAGATGAGGGTCTCGCTTTGTTGCCCAGGCTGATCTTGAACTCCTGGCCTCAAGTGATCCTGTTGCCTCAGCCTTCCAAAGTGCTGGGATTATAGCTATGAGCCACTGTGTCCGGCCTGGAAACATTTTCTTCACTCGACATCCAGAACACAAGTCTATTGGTTTTGCAACTACTTTTTTGCCCACAATTATGTGTGTGTGTGTGTGTGTGTGTGTGTGTGTGTGTGTCAGCCAACATCATTCATAAAACAAATACAACACTATTAACACATATATTGCAATATTTTTGTGACTATGAATTTTGTCAATTGCAATGTTTCCATGAATCCCCCAGGTGGCAGACAAATACAATTTCCATCTAACAATTAAACAAACTTGGTAAGAACATTGCTTCCTTATCATGAATCCTTCAGAAATATTAATCAGAATTTTAGAATACGGTCCATTTATCATATGATTAAGAAACTAACTTCTTATAATTTACCTGAGAGTTTTATTAGAAACATAAATGGAAATTATTTAATTGGTGAACAATCATTGTAATTAAACACTCTCAAAAATACATATTTTATGTGATTCATCATCCCAAGCACTTAGAAATGTATCTGCTGGCTATGAAAACTAGTTTTGGAATTTTCTTTGGAATCTGAAAACAAAAATCAATTAAACATCACTTATAATAAAGCAAAAAGCTCATAACCAACTGATGGAATTTTTATTTTTATTTTTATTTTTTTTTTTTTGAGACAGAGTCTCACTCTGTCGCCCAGCTTGGAGTGCAATGGTGTGATCTTGGCTCTCTGCCACCTCCACCTCCCGGGTTCAAGCGATTCTCCTGCCTCAGCCTACCGAGCAGCTGGAACTACAGGCTCATGCCACCACGCCCAGCTAATTTTTATATTTTTAGTACAGACGGGATTTCACCATATTGGCCAGGCTGGTCTCGAACTCCTGACCTCATGATCCACCCGCCTCGGCCTCCCAAAGTGCTGGGATTACAGGCGTGAGCTACCATGCTCGGCCTGGGATTTTTAAAATTCTTTGGAGATTTCTATAGTTATTTCTTATTTAAAACTCATGCATGTCAGAGTTAAAACTGCTCATAAAAGGCTGGGTGTCTGTTCTACTTGATATAATATATACACTTGCTATAAATACATTGTGTACTCTCCCCTCCTCTTTCTAACAGCTGTATTTTCCTAATGTTTCTTTATATTTTGATCTATTTTACAGAAAACGTTAACATGCCTGTGACTACAGCTATATAGAGGGACGGGCAAATATTTTAACAGCTTGTGTGAGAGGGACACAAATATATCTGGGATTTTATTTTTAAAGTATGTATAGCACTTCCAAATAATGAATTCCCTCTGTAACATGAGGAAACTGACTGGAATGACTATTGACTCATCTTCAATTAGAATGTTGGTTAAACACATCTTACACACATTTCCTAAATTTAATTGACTCTATTGCTTGAGTTTAAAATTATTTGAAAAATAAAATAACTGGAGATAATCGGTTGAAAAGCATGAGCATTGCTAAATTATCTTCATTATTCTAAATGTTTTTAAAGCTTTCTTAAATCATCAAAATATTAAAACAACATTGGAAAAAACAGAGAAAAAAGCTAATCATAATCTCACCACTTTGAAAAACTATTTTTTATTTCTCATAGTCCCTTTTTGTCTTCAATTACATGCATACACTTTTGTCCATTGTAGTGAATATTAGGCATATATAATTTTTATTAATGTGGAGGGCTATTTGGGGTTTCATTTTATTTATTTAGAGACAGGAGTCTCACTCTGTTGCCCAGGGTGGAATGCAGTGGCACGATCATAGCTCACTGCAGTTTTGAACTCCTGAGCTCTATCAAGGGATCCTCCTGCCTTGGCCTCCCAAAGTGCTTGGACTACAGGCGTGAGCCACCCTACCCCGGCCTATTTTTGCTTTTAAAAGATGTGGGACCTATGCTAACTAGTATGACATAGACTCTTCTGCCTCCTATTGTCCTCCTAAGAGAAGAAGCTAAATACCTCTGTCTAGGGTGGACACTTGAGTCAGAATCTACCCAGTAGATGCACTCCACACTGATGAATTAACAGTCTAACGTACTTAAAAGATTAATGCTCAAAGGAGAGAGAGAATATGTGGACACTGGTGTAGTCAGTCCTAGAATTGCCTTGGCTGTGAAATGGCTTGTAATTTTAAACCATATATGTCCTTACGGTCGAACCCTTTTTCCCTAAGACTGAATGAACGTTTGTTCTTTGGAACCCAAAGTGTCACACAACCACATTTTGACAAATTATCAATTCATGTCCTCTTTCCTCTTCTTTTTCTATGTTCACTCACCTTTTATGTGGGCCTGTTCACCTAATGATTCATTTGAAATAGAAGTAATTTTTAAAACCAGAAGTAATTTTTAAAAACAGAAATTTTTACCAACTCTGAAAACAACTTGGTGTTGTTTAAAAGTAATGAATATGTTAGAACTTTCCTTCCACAAGTTTCATTATTATTCTTTATCCTGGGAATTATATAAAGGATTTATTCATTTTCTAAGAGAAAAATCTATAATTCCATAAATTTACATAATTTAAAATGCCATGTCTGTTTTCACTACATGAACTTGACCCACAAAGGCCTCTCAGTAAAGTGTGTGTGCCTCATAATCTTTGGTGTGATAATACTCTGCACAGTAATACAATACTACTTCTATACTCAGTATGGTGACTTTCGTCCAAAGACTCCTCTAAATTCCTTTTATGAGGCAAAAAACACTTAGACTCTATGATGGTCATTTTATTGTTTACTACTAATAGTACACAGAGGATGGAATGTGCTATCTCTGGCACGAAGAGTTCTGCTGGAAGTTTAGAGAGAATAAAATGTCTTCATACTTCAACGACCAAAGAGAAAACACTTGTGGAAAAGAGAGCAAGCAAAGTTCCAAGAAGTATATATTTATTATCTCTGTGCTGGTTAGTTGGAACTCTTTGTCAATGAGGTCATAGTTTTTAATCCCGGTGTGGCTCATTTATCTCTACTAGTTTCCTTAATCATAACATGCACCCCTGACCCCAGCCAACTGCTTGACAAGGGTCTTTTCTTGAGCAAAATGGGGCCTAAAAAGAGAATAAAATAATCTGTGCAAATCCACCACTGTAATTGGAAAAATAATTTAAAATGTCCAATTAACAAAGAATTTATAGACTCATATTTTCGTCTAGACCTAGTTAGCAGTCATATACAGTAGTCTGCATACATAGGCACTGCCTATGTATACAGACCATCACGAGGTCAACAGATGGAGACCAGCCTGGCCAACATGGCAAAACCCCATCTCTACTAAAAATACAAAATTTAGCCGGGCGTGGTGTCGGTTGCCTGTAATCCTAGCTACTCGGGAGGCTGAGGCAGGAGAATGGTTTGAACCCAGGAGGCAGAGGTTGCAGTGAGCCCAGATCGTGCCACTGCACTCCAGCCTGGGTGACAAGAGCGAGACTCTGTCTCAAAAAAAAAAAAGAAAAAAGAAAAAAAATTGCTTGAAGCACATCAAATCCTACAGCAGTGAAGAAAAAATAATAATTTTTACTCCTTTGGCTACCTTGGTCACATAATCACTAGTAAAATAATTTGATGCCATCTATGTGTTGGAAAGGATGTAATATATTCCTTAGCATCTAACTTGGAAATACAACTACGTGAAAATTGGTTGATGACGATCACTGTAGTATTATTCAACAATAAACCTGTCGGACACAGTGGCTCACGCCTGTGATCCCAGCACTTTGGGAGGTCGAGGTGGGAGGATCACCTGAGGTCAGGAGTTCGAGACCAGCCTAACCAATATGGCAAAAACCCATCTCTACTAAAAATACAAAAATTAGCTGGGCATGGTAGTGGGCGCCTGTAATCCCAACTACTCGGGAGGCTGAGGCAGGAGAATTGCTTGAACCCAGGAGGCGGAGTTTGCAGTGAGCCGAGATCGTGCCATTGCACTCCAGCCGGGATGACATAGCAAGACTCTGTTTCAAAAAATAAATAAATAAAATAATAAACCAAAATGTAGGCTTTTCAGCAA
Source organism: Homo sapiens (assembly GCF_000001405.40). Taxonomy (NCBI): domain Eukaryota; kingdom Metazoa; phylum Chordata; class Mammalia; order Primates; family Hominidae; genus Homo; species Homo sapiens. Next base: position 33,170,164 of record NC_000011.10, read on the forward strand.
ACTAATTGAGTAATGATTTTTCTCTTAAAGGGAAATCCTAAAAAGAAATTCACTAAGGAAGTCAAATAAAAGAATGTACAATTTTTATACATGACAAAAACCAACAAACATAACCTGCTGTATTAGAAGTTTTTTGTTTTGGACTCAAATTTTTGTGTAGGTATATATTGACATACAAGAAATTAGTCACATTGTGTCACTGTATGATCCTCACCTATAAAATAATTTGCCTTCACATTTTGGGAATCTAAGTCTTGTGAGTGACAAGTTTGGGGACCGTTTATGCTGTCTTCTTACTCCTACTTGCACCAGGGACCATTACCATAGCTCTTTTTAGAAAGGAAAAGTAGTTGTTTCTTCTTCTTGCCTCATGAAAGTTCCATATGCCCTATTCTTCATCATGTCTGAAAACGTAAGTAGAATTATTTAAAAGCCTCATGTTTAAATATTTAATCTGCAAGCCATTATTGAGGTCCTGCTCTGTATCTTGAATCTTTTGTACACTGTGATTCAAATATAAGTGGCATACAGCCTCTGCCTTCCAGAAACTCGGTGTAGATTTAAATGCCTAGTTACTAAATTCCTTTAAAAAATAAATAAATTCGGCCGGGCGCAGTGGCTCACGCCTGTAATCCCAGCACTTTGGGAGGCCAAGGAGGGCAGATCATGAGGTCAAGAGATCGAGACCATCCTGGCCAACATGGTGAAACTCCGTCTCAACTAAAAATACAAAAATTAGTTGGGCGTGGTGGCATGAGCCTGTAGTCCCAGCTACTCAGGAGGCTGAGGCGGGAGAATCACTTGAACCTGAGAAGTGGAGGTTGCAGTGAGCTGAGATTGCGCATTGCACTCCAGCCTGGCAACAGAGCAAGACTCTGCCTCAAAAATAAATAAATAAATAAATAAATTCTAGACTTCTCTTTCATGAAGGTATTTAAACATTAGGGTGCAACTATAAAAACATTAGGATGCAGCAGTAAGTTTGCCAACAATGTTAGATTTTTAAAATACGAAGCTGTCAATTGTCCCCAAATTGATCTATAGTTTCAAAGCAATTACAATCAAAATACCCGCAGATTTTTTTTAAGGATATTGATGAGCTTATTCTAAAATCCATATGGGAAAAGAAGAACAAAATTGGAGGTCTTACACTACCTAGTTTCAAGACTTATCAAAACAGTGCCACACTATCCAGTGTCCTGGACACTTTGTTGTTTTGAAGACTAGTCAAGTGCAGCAGTGAGAAGGAGGGAAAGAGAACAAGGAGTTCAATCTGTAACTGACTGTGAACAATCAATTGAGATAACACACTACCTTTGGACCAGCCCTGGACACTTTGGAAAACAGTTTGTCAGTCTCTTACAAGATTAAACGTATACTTACCATATGACCCATCAATCCCACTCATGTATTTTTCCAAGATGAATAAAAATGTGTGTTCATATTAAAACCCATACACAAATGTGCATAGCAGCTTTATTTATAATCTCTAAAAACTGGAAAATAAATCAAATGTCTTTCAATTAATGTTGGATAAATGAATTATGGTATCTATATAATGAAATACTATTCAGCCATTAAAAGGAATAACTATTATATGTGGAATAGTATAGATGAATCCCAAATGCATTATGCTTAGTAAAAGAAGCCAGACTCAAAAGACTACATACTAGTTTATTCCATTTATATGACATCCTGGAAAAAGAAAAATTGTAGGGTTGGAGACTAGATGAGTGGTTGCTGAGGTAAGTATAGAAGAAGTGTTTTACTATGAAGGGGCAATATGAGAATGTTTTTGGGTGGTATATGTGTCTTCACTGTGGGGCATTTCCAAAATTCTGGCCAGGCGCAGTGGCTCATGCCTGTAATCTTAGCACTTTGGAGGCCGAGGTGGGTGGATTGCCTGAGCTCAGGAGTTCAAGACCAGCCTGGGCAACATGGCAAAACCCCATTTCTACTAAAAATACACACCAAAAACAAAACAAAACAAAAAATACAAAATTCTATGCATTTGTTAAACTCATAGAGCTATACACGAGAAAATAATGAATTTTACCGTGTATAAATTTAAAAATACTGGCCAGGCATGGTGGCTCATACCTGTAATTCCAGCACTTTGGGAGGCTGAGGCTGGTGGATCACTTGAGGTCAGGAGCTCGAGATCAGCCTGGCCAACATGGTGAAACCCCGTCTCTAATAAAAATACAAAAAATAGCCGGGCATGGTGGTGCACGCCTGTAATTCCAGCTGCTCAGGTGGCTGAGGCAGGAGAATTGCCTGAGCCTGGGAGGCAGAGGTTGCAGTGAACCAAGATCGTGCTACTGCACTCCAAACTGGGCAACAGAGTAAGACAGGGTCTCAAAATAAATAAATAAATAAATAAATAAATAAATAAATAAACCAAAGAACCAAAACATCCATTGACAGATGAATGGAGAATATTACGCAGCCTTAACAAAGAAAGGATTTCTGTCATATGCTATCACATGGATAAATCTTAAGAACATTAGGCTAAATGAAATAAATCATTCACAAAAAGACAAATACTGTACACTTCTATTTATATGAAGTATCTAAAGTAGTCAAAATCACAGAAACAGAAAGTAGAAAGGTAGTTGCCAAGGGTATTGATGGATAGAGGAAGGGATAAATACTGTTCAATGGGTATAGAGTTTCAGTTTTGCAAGATGAAAAAGTTCTAGAGATTTATTTCACAACAATGTGAATATACTTAACAGTACTGAACTGTACACTTGAAAATGCTTAGTGTTTTTAATGTTATGTGTTTTTGCCACAATAAAAAATATAGAAAAAAAGAGTTAACTGAAGGAAGTTTAACATAAGGCAGATATGAATAAAAGTGTGGGCAGGTGTTAAAAGAACATCATAGTTTGTGAAGCACATAGGACTGGCATCGTCAGCCAAAAGAGAGGAAGGATCCAATACTAGGATCTGGCAGGAACTATGGCTATGGGGAAGAATACTCAGCAGAAGCTGTGCCCCTGGGTAGAGGAATGCAGCCATTGCCCAACCTCCCAGACAGAAGCTGGGAGGGCCAGGGAGCCAGAATAATGCAATCCATAGAGGTCAGCGAGGGCTTTGCAGCATGGCTGTGGTGAGCAAATGGAGGATAGGTAGCATAACCTCTCTATCAATAAGGTTTCCTTGGTGCAAGTATCAGAAGCCTACTCTGGCTAACTTAAATAGGAAGAGCTATAGGGGAGGTCACATGAATCCAAGAAAAGTCCAAAGAAACATTGAGAAGACCAGGACAGCTTTGGAGATGGCAAAATAGAATTTTTAGATTGTCTCTTTAGGGTATTGTTGCCAGAGCGAATAATCTCTATTAATGTCATTTTGACCCTTGTGTACAGAATTGTTTTTTCTCTCCAAGGTTTTTTTATTATACAAATGTCAAACAAACACATAGAAAAGTTAACAGAATAGTACAATACCGATATAGCCTCTACCTAGTTTAATACTTGTTAACATTTTGCTATATTTCCTCTTACTCTCTATGTGTGTACATATACATTTCATTTTTTGTTAATCTTCTTGAAAATAAGTTGATGACATTCTGATACCTTAGCTCTAAATATCTTAGTACAGGTCTCCTAAGAATTAGGACAATCTTTTACAAAACCACAATACATTGTCATCTAAAGAAAATTAGCTATAATTTCATAATATCATCTAATCTGCAGCTCATATTCAAATTTTGCCAATTGCCCTGGTAAGATGGGTTTTATTTGTTTGAACAAAAATCCAATCAATTTTCACACTTTTTTTTTCTTCATGATATATGACTTGTTGAAAAAGGCAGGCCAGTTGTTTTACATTCTGGATTTGTCTTTTTTATTTCCTCAGGGTGTCATTTAATTTATACCTCCATTCCTGTTTCTTTTAAGATGAAAGGTAGCCCTGGAGGGTTGGTAATAACACTTGAGAGGTGATATTGTATACTTTATATTGCATCACATCATGAGACACTTAATGTCAGTGCTGAGCTTGATCAGTTGATTGAGGTGATCTGCTCAGGATTTAAATTTCAGGGAAGTTACACACTGAGTATAAGGCAACTATAATTGTTGTATTCATTTATTTATATTTTTATTTTTTGAGACAGGGTCTTGCTTTGTCACCCAGGCTGGAGTACAGTCGTGCAAACATGGCTCACCGTAGCCTTGATCTCCCTCACTCAAGCAATCCTCCTGCCTCAGCCTCCCAAGTAGCTGGGACTGCAGGCACGCACCACCACGCCTGGCTAATTTTTGTGTTTTTTTGTAAAGATAGGGTTTTGCCATGTTGCCCAAGCTGGTCTCAAACTCCTGGCCTCAAGAGATTCTCCCACATCAGCCTCCCAAAATGCTGGGATGACAGGTGTGAGCCACCAGGCCTGGCCAATTGTTGCATTTAAAGAGATTAACGAGAAACTAGAAGACAGATCTAAAGAAACTCAGAATGTCATCCGGAAAGTAAAAATGGTGGAAACTATGAAAGAGAGGATAAGAAATTTGGAGGATAGAGTAAAAAGCAAAAATACGTCTAAGCTGGGTGCAGTGGAACACATTTGTAATTCCAGCTAGTAGGGAGGCTGAGGCAGGAGAATTGCTTGCACCCAGGAGTTCAAGGCCAGCTTGGGCAATATAGCAAAACTCCATTTCTTAAAAATACACACACACACACACACGCGCGCGCGCGCACATGCATCTGATTAGAATTTCAGAAACAGATAATGGAATTAAGAAGAGGAATATTCCAAAAATACAATGGCTGAAAATTTTCCAGGTTTATTTTTTGTTTTTGTGTTTGTGTGTAGCTGGGACTACAGACGTTCACCACCAGGCCCAGATAATTTTTTGTATTTTTGTAGAGATGGGGTTTAATGTTGTCCAGGCTGGTCTTGAACTCCTGATCTCAGGTGATCCGCCCACCTTGGCCTCCTAAAGTACTGCAATTACAGGCATGAGTCACCATGCCTGGCCAATTTTCCAGTTTTAATGATAAATATCAATCTTTGGATTGAGAAAGCCCAATGTACTTTTAGATACATTAATGTAAAACTGCAGAACACCAAAGAAAAAGAGGACTTAAAATAAGCTAGAGAAAAAAGAGAAACCACTTACAAAGCAGTGATAATGTGGTTTAACTCTGTCTCACCAATGGCTTCCAACAATGGAAGCCAGAAGACACTGAAATAATGTCTTCCATGGCCTGAGAGGAAATAACTATCATCCTAAAATTTTATAACCAGTGAAGCTAGTTTTCAAGAATATGAAAAAGCCAAAAAAAAAAAAAAAAAGCGGGATAGTTTATCAATACAAGTCCCTCATTAATGGAAATTCTAAAAGATTCTTTCTCAAGTAGTGGGAAAATGATTCCATATGGAAAGTCTTAATATATAAGCAGGGCTTGTGAGCAATAATATTGATGAATGTGTGACTAAATCTAAAGAAACATTCTATAAAATAATATTTGACTTCGGGAGGAAAGTCCGAAACTAAAATACTGGGCACAGTAACATTGTAATTGGCATTTCAGAGATCAAAGTTAAAGCGTTGTAAGGTTCTCATATTGTTTAGGAGAATAAATATATTGGTTCATTCTTGACTTTGTTGAGAGGATATGTTAAAATAGGGCAATCATCAAAAGAAGAGATAAAGAAAATGTAAGTCAAGAGAACAGTATGAAATGAAAATTAAGGAGAAGGAACGAAATAGAATGAAAAAAACAAATTTCAACAAATCAAAAATAAAGGAAGAAAGAGGAATGTAAAACAAAAACAAAAATGACAGAAAACACAAAATAAACTTGTCAAGTAAAATCCAAATAAATCACTAATCACTATAAATGTAAGTTTTTCAACCCCTTTACTTAAAAGACCAAAATTGTCAAAACATTGTTTTTCTTTTTTTCACATGAGATGGTTCAAGCAAAACAAATTTTTTGTTTTGTTTTGTTTTTTGAGACAGAGTTTTGCTCTTGTTGCCCAGGCTGGAGTGCAATGGCATGATTTTGGCTCACCGCAACTTCTGCCTCCTGGGTTCAAGCGATTTTCCTGCCTCAGCCTCCCAAGTAGCTGGGATAACAGGCATGCACCACCACACCCGGCTAATTTTGTATTTTTAGTAGAGACAGGGTTTCTCCATGTTGGTCAGGCTGGTCTCGAACTCCTGACCTCAGGTGATCCGCCCACCTCAGCCTCCCAAAGTGCTGGATTACAGGCGTGAGCCACCATGCCTCACCTGTAAAACATATTTTTTAAAAGCAACTTAACTTCTATGAGTGATCATATCTAAAACAAAAAGACATAGAAAAATTGGGAGTCAAATTATGGGAAAAATGTATTGGCATCTATTAAGAAAAAGACCCTGAGGTAGCTGTTTTAATGTCACGCAGAATAGACTTTAAGATAAAAGAGTATTACTCATGAAGGAGATTACCCCATGTTAAAAGGTTAATTTCACCAGGAAGTTATGACAGTTCTAACTTTTATGATCTTTCTTTGTCTCTTTTGATGAATACTCATCTCCCAAATTTAGAATTCCCCAGGTCTCAGTTTAGAACTGTTTTTTAAATTTAAAAAAAATTGAAATGGGGCCTTGTTATGTTGCTCAGGCTGGAGTGCAGTGGTACAATCATAGCTCACTACATCCTCAAACTCCTGGACTCAAGAAATCTCCTCATCTTGGCCTTCCAAAGTGCTGGGATTACGGGTGTGAGCCACTGGCTTGACCATTATCGCAATCTTTTTCTTGATAATCACATTCAGTTCCATGGCTTTATTTATTTATTTATTTATTTATTTATTTTAGTAGAGATGAGGCCTTGCTATGTTGCCAAGGCTGGTCTCGAACTCCTGGCCTCAAGTGATCCTCCCAGCTCAGCCTCCCAAAGTGCTGGGATTACAGGGGTGAACCACCATGCCTGGCCTCCGTTCCATGCTTTCAAATGCCAGCTATACACTAACTCTCAAAGTTGTATCGTTAGCCAATACCTCTATTCTGAATTCCAGACTCATTAAATAAATTGCCTATATGACATCTCCACTTGGGTATCTAATAGTATCTCAAACGATACAGTCTGTAATCCCAGCACTTTGGGAAGCTGAGGGAGGAGGATTGCTTTGAGTCCAGAAGTTTAAGACTGCAGTGAGCTATGATCATGCCACTGCACTCCAGTCTTGCTGAAAGAGTGAGACCCTGTCTTTAAAAATAAAATTAAAAAATTAAAAAATTTTAAATTAATACTGGTATGTCTAAAACCAAGCTTTTGATCTGATTCACCAAACATGCTCTTTTCCCATGCTTTACCATCTCAGAAAATGGCAACTCCATCTTTCCAATTGCGTAGGTCCAAACAATGGAGTGACCTTGACTTCTCAGTTTCTCTTCCATCCCATATCTTAACAGCTAATCTAGTAAATTCTATCTTCAGAAGATTTGCTGTTAAGATATGGGATGGAGGAGAAATCTGATTGCTTCTCTCCACTCCTTTTGCCCTCAGTCTGCTCCAAGCTACAATCATCTTTCACCTGGATTACTGTGATTACCTTTTAACTGGTCTCCCTGCTTCTGCCTTTGATCTCTATGATAGTCCAGGTCCTCCGAGAAGCAGATGCCAAGACAGGATTAAATGTACAAGAAATTTATTGTGGGAAACCCCTGTGAGAGAAAATGGGGAGGGAGCAGGAGAAGCTGGGAGAGCTGTCAGACTGTGATGCAACTCAAATGAAGGAGAGAAAGAACAATGGGTGGAACATTCTTAGACTTGTGCAGTTATGAAAAATTCAGCAAAGCTGTTAGGGAGTCCTGAGCTAAAATGTTGCCTGTCGAGGAGTTCTGCAATTCCTGGAAATGGGTCTGCCTTAGTATCCCTGCTGAGAGCAGCCAGTGGAAAGCACGGGCTCAAAACCCCGCATCTGGGATCCCAGTCAATTATGCTTCCTGCAGTGAGCCATCAAGAGTGCTTTCCAATGATTGTCATGTGTATCGCTTCAGTCAATTCTCCCTAGAGTAGTCAGAGCGATCCAGCTAAAATGCTGGATCACGTCATTCCTGTTGCTTAAAACTCTTCAATCACTTCCCATTTGATTCAGAATTAAACCAAATTCCCTACATGGGCTGCCCCGCTACTTGAAAGAGGTGAGATCAATAGGTCCTCAAACCCTAAATGGAATTATCTGTGGCAGATATAGGGTAGTCTGACCAGGTAGTCTGCTCTGACTTAATTTAGTAACAATTGGAAATTTAGAAGACGGTGATTCTTAGAAAAAATACAATTTGACTTCTTTGGATCTGGCCCAAAATGTCCTTATAGTGTTGGGTCACTTTCTCAGAATGTGAGCTGATAGGATACTGATATGGTTTGGCTGTGTCCCAAATCTCATCTTGAATTGTAGTTTCCATAATCCCCACGTGTGGTGGGAGGGATCTGATGGGAGGTAATTGAATCATGGGGGCGGTTACCTCCATGCTATTCTCATGGTAGTGAGGGAGGTCTCACGAGATCTAATGAGTTTATAATGGGCTTTTCCCCTTTTGCTCAGCACTTCTCCTTCCTGCTGCCATGTGAAAAAGCATGTGTTTGCTTCCCCTTCCACCATGATTGTAAGTTTCCCGAGGCCTTCCCAGCCCTGCAGAATTGTGAGTCAATTAAACCTCTTTCCTTTATAAACTACCCAGTCTCGGGCAGTTATTTATAACAGCATGAGAAAGAACTAATAGAGATAAAAAAGAGATTGTATCAACATACACATTTACTTTTCCAGTGAAAGAATGAAGAAAACATGCATGTTTGAGGTTTTCTTGAGGGAAGTATCTAATGATTCACATACAACCAGGGACTCTTCAGGCTGAAGATAGCTTGTAATTTTTCTTCTAGTCCCCTAGTAGACTAATTTAAACCTGTTTTCTATTCATCACTCCTAGAGGTGATGACTGTTCTGGAATTAAGGTTCAAAGGAGGTAAAAGAAGGAAGAACTGTTTGGAGAAATTGTTACTGGTGGAAGGTGTCCAGGTTCTTGGTACTTTAAACAAAAGAATTGGACAAATCACACAAAGAATGAAATAACACAAGGAGAGATTTATTGAAAATGAATTCACACTCCACAGGGTGGGAGCAGCCCAAGCAAGTGGCTGAAGAGCTTGGTTACAGAATTTTCTGTGGTTTAAATACCCTCTAGAGGTTTCCCATTGGTTACTTGGTATACACCCTATGTAAATGAAGTAGTGGCCTGTGATCAGTCTGATTGATTGCAGAGTGACCAAAAAGAGGCTGAAGTGAAATTACAAAGTTACACCCTAAGCAGACTTCCGATTGGTTGTGGAAAGTGACCAATCAGAGGCTAAAGTGAAGTTATAAAGTTATACTCCTATGCAAATGAAGACTTGGCCCATGACTAGCCTGATTGGTTGTGGGAGGGGACCAATCACAGGTACTTTCAATTTTTCATCTGCCATGCAGAAAAGGGGTGGGTTGCAAAGGGAGTAGCCTCTAGTCCTTTTGTTACCCGAGCATAGGAAGTTGGGGTTTTCCTTTGGTTTAGTTCTAGGAAATCAGCATGAATCAGCCTTAGATTCCCTGCCTCCAGACCCTATTCTGCCTCAAAATCGTTGATTCTGAGGCTATGGCAAGGAAAGTCAAGTTACATTTGAACATCTTACTGTAGCAGAAAGTAAAAAAGTGCTGAAAAATTGGTGGGGACACAGAAGCCAGCTCGAAGGGGACTCCCACTGGTTAAACTTAGCATCAAAATAAATAACAGGAATGGATTATAACTCATTGATTAACCAAAAATGAATCAATGATTCCCTATTATTACAAAAAAAGAAAATCACCTTAAAAAAAACTTCAGCTGGGCGCAGTGGCTCACGCCTGTAATCCCAGCACTTTGGGAGGCCGAGGTGGGCGGATCACCTAAGGTTGGGAGTTCGAGACCAGCCTGACCAACATGGAGAAACCCCGTCTCTACTAAAAATACAAAATTAGCTGGGCGTGGTGGCACGCACCTATAGTCCCAGCTACTTTGGAGCTTGAGGCAGGAGAATTGCTTGAACCTGGGAGGTGGAGGTTGCGGTGAGCCGAGATTGCACCATTGCACTCCAGCCTGGGCAACAAGAGCAAAACTCCGTCTCAACCCCCCCCCCCCCAAAAAAAACCTCCATGTTAAAAAGTATTAGTGGTGTTAATGTGGCTTTTGAAATTTGAAAATCCAGTTTTGCTGTTTTTTAATGTTCATGTGAAAGAATAAACGTTCCTATAAAATGTCCCTACAAATATTGAAAAATTAGCTTTTCATTAGTAAAAGCAAAATTCATGTATCTTCTAAAGAGTACATATTTTACAAGCCTCATTAGACACTCTTGACACAAAACATTCAGAAATAGAAAACAAGCATTGATTAAAAGCTCTGTATTTTTCTTTTTCTTTCTTTCTTTTTCTTTTTTTTGAGATGGAGTCTGTCTGTCACCCAGGCTGGAGTGCAGTGGCACAATCGTTGTTCACTGCAACCTCCACCTCCCGAGTTCAAGCGATCCTCCTGCCTCAGCCTCCCGAGTAGCTGGGACTACAAGCACATGCCACCATGCCTGGCTAATTTTTGTATTTTTAGTAGAGACAGGGTTTCACCATGTTGGCCAGGCTGGTCTCTAACTCTTGACCTCGTGATCTGCCTGCCTTGGCCACCCAAAGTACTGGGATTACAGGCGTGAACCACCATGCCCAGCCAAGTCCCTGGAATTGAGCCCTGGGCTGTGTCTCTGCCTTCTGGGTAAATGAGGAACAGAAATGAAAATTCTGTGGGAGTCAGTGTGAAATTGCATCTTCTGCACAGGCAGAGTTTGAAATGTACATCCTAGTCTCCATCACCAGCACAGACATCTCCAGTTCATGCTTAGGTAAATAACCTGTTCTAGTTGTAGGAGTCCCAGACATTCCAGCTCCCACCACACCCATGTGGACTCACATGGAGGTCTCTGCCCAACGCTGAGTCGCAACTGCCACATTCAGGACACATGTCTCCAACACTTACATAAAGGACTTTTAGGCTGGGCGCAGTGGCTCACACCTGTAATTAGCCGGGTGTGGTGGTGGGCGCCTGTAGTCCCAGCTACGCGGGAGGCTGAGGCAGGAGAATGGCGTGAACCTGGGAGGCGGAGCTTGCAGTGAGCTGAGATCGCGCCACTGCACTCCAGCCTGGGGGACAGAGCGAGACTCCGTCTCAAAACAGCAACAACAACGACGACAACAAAAAAAAACTACAAAAATTAGCTGGGCGTGGTGGCACACTCCTGTAGTCTCAGCTATTCAGGAGGCTGAGGGAGGAGAATGGCGTGAACCCGAGAGGCGGAGCTTGCAGTGAGCTGAGATCACGCCACTGCACTCCAGCCTGGCGGACAGAGCAAGACTCCGTCTCAAAAAAAAAAAAAAAAAAAAAAAAAAAAAACCGGCTTTCAACTGAAATCATAGAAGACCACCTTTTTATAGCCTCCAAAGTAATCATTGATCCATACAATAATCATCAATAAATACTAAAACTATTATGTGAAATACTGTTGGGGAACAGGATACTCATAGTTTCCAAGTATCACTCCACAGAATATTTCTTAATTACAAAGGAAAAACATCTTTATGTCAGAGAAATCCAGGAGGACCTTAGCTGAATGTACAAAGTTTGTTTTTTGGCTCTTCTTGTTGTAGTTTTTAAGACAGAGTCTCGCTCTGTTGCTCAGGCTGGAGTGCAGTGGCATGATCTCCGCTCACTGCAACCTCCGCCTCCTCGATTCAAGCCATTCTCCTGCCTCAGTCGCCCAAGTAGCTGGGATCACAGGCGTGCACCACCAGGCCTGGCTAATCTTTGTATTTTTGGTAGAGACAGGGTTTTGCCATGTTGGCCAGGCTGGTCTAGAACTCCTGGCCTCAAGTGATCCGCCCACCTCAGCCTCCCAAAGTGCTGGGATTACAGGAATGAGCCACTGCACCGGCCTGAACAAAGTTAATGAAGCAAACTGACATGCTGTGCCCCTTGTGTTGGGGATCCCTAAGATCAACCTCAGGTTTGATGATTCACTAGAAGTACTCAAAAAACTCAAAAAAAACCTGTTCTGCTCACAGCTACAGTATCTTACAAAGAAAGGGCACAGATTTAAATCAGCAAAGTGAAAAGGTGCATGAGGTTAAGTATAGGAGAAATCAGGGGCAAGCTTCCAGTTGTCCTCTCCCAGTGGGGCCACACAGACTGTACTTAATTCTCTCAGCAACTATGTGTGACAACAGGTGTGAAGACTGCTGTCCAAAGAAGCAGACCCAAGCCCCTTGGTCCTCAGGATTTTCACATAAGCATGTGTTGTCCATGTGGCTGACTTTAGCTGTCCAGTCTCCAGACCTCGAGAGGTCAAACTGATATAGCATGGTCCAGGACCCCAGGCATAGAAAAACAGGTGTTCACGGTAAGTCAGATCGTTAGCACAAACTAACTGATCAAACAAATAATTTGGCCCAGGGCCTAAGGCATATAGAAACACTCTTATCAGGCAGGATAATTGCTCAGAGGTTACCTTCCAGCAGCAGGTCAAGGTCCAGTCCTTTCTTGGGGATGTTTGAACAGTCCAAGCCTCCTGAGTTAACCCCTTACAGAACACTCCCTGATATGAAAAGGGCACAAATCAACAATGTAGTATACTGCAAAAATATCTTATCTAGATATAACAATGAGGAAACCATTAGAGATCCCAGGATTGATCAGCTTGGCAAAACAATTGTCCTGACTCTTTAAAAAAATGTCAATTATGGAAAACAAAAACAAACAAAAAAAAGGGGGCAACTTTTCTAGATTAAAGGGCAACTTTTCTAGATTAAAGGAGACTTCTACTTTTTATTTCTATGGTTTTGACTGCTTGAGATACTTCATATGAGTGGAATCATAAAGGGAGTGTCTTAAGTAACATGACTATGGGAGATGGGACAAAACAAGAGGCACTTGGATTAATTTAATAAGTGTCCTGTTGAATTTAAGAATATAATGTTTGACACATGCACAAGCAGATCAGTAGCAGACTTAGGGAATTACTATTAGGCATATTTCACTTAGCATTATATCCTTGAGGTTCATCCATGTTGCAGCACGTGACAGGATTTTTAGTTGATCCTAGAACTAGTTCCTCATCTTTTTTTTTTTACATAGCACAATGTGTGATCCTTCACAGATATTCCATTCTATGTGTGTATCACATTTTCTTTTTCCGTTCATCTGTCAATGGATACTCGTGTTACTTCTACCTCTCGGCTACTGTGAACAATACCAGGATGAATATGGGTGTGCAAATATCTCTTCAAGACTGCTTTCAGAGACGAGGCACAGTGGCTCACTCCTGTAATCCCAGCACTTTAGGAGGCTGAGACGGGTGGATAACTTGAGCCCAGGAGTTTGAGACCAACCTGGGCAACATGGCAAAACCCGTCTCTACAAACTCAGGAGCTGATCCTGGGGAGGTCAAGGCTGTAGTGAGCCGTGATTGCACCACTGCACTCCAGCCTGGGCAATGGAGTGAGAGCTTGTCTCTAAAATAAATACATAAATAAATAAAGGACCCTGCTTTCAGTTATTTTGGATGTATATTCAGAAGTGAGACTGCTGGATCATATGATAAGTCTATTTTTAATTTTGTGAGGAATCTTAATACTATTTCTCATAATGGCTGCACAATTTTACATTCCCACCAACAGTACAAAGAATCCCAATTCTTTCAAATCCTTGCCAACACTTGTTTTTTTCTGTTCTTTAGATAGCAGTCATTCTAATCTGTATAGGGTGATACCTCAATGTGGTTTTGATTTGCCTTTCCCAATGATTAGCAATGTTGAGCATCTTTTCATATGTTTCTTGGGCATTTGTGTGTGTGTGTGTATACTTTTTTATATATGTATACTTTTATATATATACATATTTTTTTTTTTTTTTGAGACGGAGTCTTGCTCTGTCACCCAGGCTGGACTGCAGTGGCATGATCTCAGCTCACTGCAACCTCTGCTTCCCGAGTTCAAGCGATTCTCCTGCCTCAGCCTCCCCAGTAGCTAGGATTACAGGCACCCTCCACCACCCTCAGCTAATTTTCATATTTTTAGTAGAGACAAGTTTTCATCATGTTGGCCAGGATGGTCTCGATCTCCTGACCTCAGGGGATCTGCCCACCTTGGCCTCCCAAGGTGCTGGGATTACAGGCATAACCCACCATGCCCGGCCTATTTGTATATATTTCTTTTTTGAGAAATGTCTATTCAAGTTTTTTGTCCATTTTTAAATTGTGTTTTGTTGTTGAGTGGTAGGAGTTTTTTTTTTAAATATATTCTATATATTAACTTCTTTGATATATGATTTGTTAACATTTTCTCCCTTTTTGTAGGCTTTTAAAAATTCTGTTAATTGTATCCTTTGATGCATAGGAGATTTTAAGTTTGATATAATACCATTTGTCTATTTGTGCTTTTTTTTCTTGGTAGAGATGTGGTCTCACTATGTTGCCCGGGCTGGTCTCAAGGTCCCAACCTCAAGCGATCCTACCACCTCAGCCTGCCAAAGTGTTGGGTTTGCACATGTGAGCCACTGTACAAATTATATTTTTCCTTTTGATGCTTGTGCTTTTGGTGTCATATCTAAGAAATCATTGCCAAATCCAGTGTCCTGAAGATCTTCCCCTGTTTTCTTCTAGGAGTTTTATACTTTTAGAACTTATGTTAGGTCTTTAATCCATTTTTAAGTTAATTTTTGTATATGATATAAGGTAAGGGGCCAGCTTGAATGTGGACTTCCAGGCAGCTATTGCTTTTTTTTTTTTTTTTTTTTTTGAGATGGAGTCTCACTCTGTCGCCCAGACTGGAGTGCAGTGGCATGATCTGGGCTCACTGTAGCCTCCACCTCCTAGGTTCAAGAGATTCTCCTGCCTCAGCTCCCCAAGTGGCTGGGATTACTGGTGCGTACCACCACGCCCAGGTAATTTTTGTATGTTTAGTAGAGATGGGGTTTCGCTATGTTGCCCATGCTGGTCTCAAACTCCTGGCCTCAAGTGATCTGCCCACCTTGACCTCCCAAAGTGCTGAGATTACAGGCATGACCCACTGTACCCGGCCAGCTATTGGCTTTTAAACTTCTTTTGACTGCTTGTCTACCAAAGGCCTTATTATAATATCATCATATATTTACTCCTAAGGGCATGAGAGTGGTCTTTTCTTGTTTGGTTTTCCAATTTAATTTAATAGGAAAACTTATCTCGGTTTAATTATGTAAATGTTAAATATGTGTGATTTTCTCTCTAAATATATTTGAATACATCAGTGACAAGTACATTTTTATATATCTTACAAATGAATAAAAGGAAAAAGAAAATCTTCCAAGCAACTCCAATAGTTCTCTATAAGTGCTAATATATGAATGTTAGTTGATAGAAAAAGCAGTATTAACAGGAAGAAAGTAATTTATTAGTTAATTTGCTTTCCAAAACTAAAACTGTAATAAGAGGGCTCTTGCTTAGAAAAGGAATGTTGAAAACAACCTCATATGCTACACATTGCACTAAGTATTCCTCCAGAGAAAAATAGAAGAATGCCTTAAATAATATGATAGTGGAAGATGGGACAAAACAAAAAGCACTTGAATTAATTTGATTAGTGCTCTGTTGAAGTTAAGAATATAGGGTCCTACACATGTACAAACATAGAACAGTAGCAGATTTAGGGAATCACTATTAGACTGCACCTGTTGGAGTCCTCGGTGAATCCAGTCCTTGTTTAAGGCTTCCAGTTGGAGCTGGCAGTTGTTGTAGGGATTAAATTATTTAAAGCCTTCAGCTGGCTAGTGTAGGCAAGCAGTAGCTTAGAAAACACTTAATCTATTTTTTAAAATCTGTTCCTAAGTTTTCTTTGCTTAGGCTGTAAGACTACATGTAACACCCACCTGCCACATTCTGCAATCTTTTAAATTTATCCAAGAAAAAAAAGTTTTTTGAGGAATATTTATATTTTAATACAATGTGCTTATTTTGAACATAATCTATTTGTAATAAACAAATCATTTGCTAAGTATCTAAAAACATATTGTTTAAATTAATTTCAAAAGGAAATTACCAAATTACCTATTTTCACAGCCATCTTTTAAATTTTATTTTTAATCATAGTTAGAGGGGCTTTTGATAACCAACATTATGTGAACCCTTTCAATAGAAACATTATTTTATTTTATATATTTTTTTAGATGAGGTCTCGCTCTGTTGCCCAGTCTGGAGTGCAGTAGCACAATCTCGGCTCACTCCAACCTTCACTTCCCCAGTTCAAGTGATTCTCCTGCCTCAGCCTCCCCTGTAGCTGGGATTACAGGCATGTGCCATCACGTCCAGCTAATTTTTGTATTTTTAGTAGAGATGGGGTTTCACCATGTTGGCCAGGGTGGTCTTGAACTCCTGACCTTAAGTGATCCACTGGTTTCAGCCCCCTAAAGTGTTGGGATTATAGGCGTGAGCTACTGCACCTGGCCAGAAACATTTTTTTAAGCCAGCTCCGTATATATTACATAATTCGGTAACACATTACAATGTATTTAACTTCTGTTTAGAAAATTAGAATCACTTAATAAATCTTACTGTGCTTTGGAGTGACCTAAGGAATTTTTTTTTTTTTTTTTTTTTTTTTGAGATGAAGTCTCACTCTGTCACCCAGGCTGGAGTGCAGTGGCTCGATCTCGACTCACTGCAACCTCCACCTCCTGGGTTCAAGCGATTCTCCTGCCTCAGCCTCCCGAGTAGCTGGGATTACAGGCGCCTGCCACCATGCCCAGCTAATTTTTGTGTTTTTCGTAGATACGGGATTTCACCATATTGGCCAGGCTGGTCACGATTTCCTGACCTCCAGTGATCCTCCAGCCTCGGGCTCCCAAGACCTAAGGAATTTGTATAAAACCTTCCAGATAACTCAGAAGCTGAGGACTTATTAGGCAAATCTACTTATATGTAATTAACTATTAGAGGTCCACTGTATTTTTTTTGCTGATGAAAAATACAAAGATTTTCTTTCCTACTAGAAATTTTTACCTGATATTATGTCACTATCATTTCTTTGAATTTGTTAGATATACGATAGATTAAATCAATATGTTTCCGCAATAAAAGAACTGATTCTGACATCATTCATTATCTAAAGTTCTTTCTTGGCTGCGTTTAAAAATAACAAAACTTTTGTTTCCAAATGGTGAGATATGAAGTAAAATAACTTCGGTGGGCATATATTCTTATTTTCCTAGAGTTTATAGTAGAATTCATGAAGCAAATAAAACCCTGTAAAATAGGTTTAAAGTATTGAAATGTAAAATTCTAAACTTTTTCTGTTACTAGTCTCGTTTGTTTATTTATAAAGCTAACAATTTTTATAACCTTCTGTCTTTTCCTCCCTAAGACTTTTTATTGCTTTATTTTTAGAAGCTTATTGTGGGCATGATTAAGATGAAAGCAAAAATTTTAGATATGTAGCAGAGGAAGAAAATACATTTAGGACAAACTGCCTCTTAAGTAGAGAAAATAATAGTTGAGCTATTCTAGTTGAAATTTCTTACTTGGTTGCAAATGTACCCTCAAAAGTGGAAGATGATTTTATGCAAAATGTGGCTGTCTGTGGAGAGTCAATTTGGGCAAATTAAACTAAATGACCTAAACATTTATACCAGCTACAATATTGTGACTTTTATATAACTACTTTTATTCAATCAGGTACAATTTCATCATTTCTCCAATTTAATTGCTTTAAAATGTTACCATTGGGTGCCATCCCAGAACCCCATGGGGAAGGCTGTTAAGAAGTCCCAGCTCTATTCCTCTATTCTAACCTCCCTCAGCGTCTCTTTCTTGCTTTCAGCCAGCTCCCAAAGGATTCAGCACTCATTCTTCCACTCCTCGCAGCTGTCACCACCAGCTCTGTTTCCTGGGGTTCCTCCCCAACCTCATCCCACCCAAGACTGGTTATGATCTGACCTAGTTTCCTTAGCACCCCCCTTCCTTTCTATCTCTGAAAATAAGTATGAACACTGTTTACACACTGAGGGTACAGAGCATTAAGACGAACCTGTAATCCAGCTGTCTCTGCCATTATCATGCACATATCCTTTGTGGGAGACTCATCCACCGTCACGTGCCTGACTTCCCCTTAGAATCTGCAAAGAATAAAATCGCTATGTTTAGTTGTCTTTTTTTTTTCAAGAATGTGTCTTTTTAGCTAGTACCCCTTTCCCTAGAGTGGCTGCTTACTGCATACACAATGATTGTGGCATGAAATAATTAAACGATAAAATCCCAGGCTGCTGTTGAATAGTGTCAGAAGGAGGTTGGTACTCTGCACTTAGCTACCCAGACCTGCCACACACATTTACAGCCACCACCTGGCCTCTGTAAGCATCAGAGTTTCCCGTTTCTGACCCCTCTCACTGAAAGTTTATCAAGATCAGCCAATCATGTGTATACATTTCTAGTGTGTGCTACTAAAAGAGTACTACCTGGATTCAGAAGTAGTATGTTCAAGCCTTGGATTTCCCCAGTATTAGGTGGGCAAGCATGGCACTCTCTCCACAGGGTTCTTTTAACTCTTCTCTCCACACCCGCACTGGAGACCACTGGTAACCATCTGTGGCCATCACCTAAACTCTCACCCAGGTAAGAATTCAAGATCCCTTTCCTTTAACCTGTTTCTAACCATCTCACTTATTAGCACTCCTTCAGTTCCAAGCTGGTTGAACTTACATCTTGGCTTTCTCTTAGTTTTCCCTGGATTTAATTATTTAGGCCTCTTTTTTTTTTTTTTTTTTTTTTTTGGAACTGACCTGGTAACACCATAGAATGCTGCCTCTGGCAATTTCCTTTGACCCAGTAGGAAAATTAGGAGCAGGGCTTGTTTTATTTCTCTTATCGACAGTGCCAGAATGGTGTCCACTGTATATTGTGTGCACACATCATCACATTTTTTTGTGTGACTGTTTGTTTGTTTGTTGTTGTTGTTGTTGTTGAGATGGAGTCTCCCTCTGTGGCCCAGCCTGGAGTGCAGTAGTGCAATCCTGGCTCACTGTAAGCTCCGCCTCCCAGGTTCATGCCATTCTCCTGCCTCAGCCTCCCAAGTAGCTGGGACTACAGGCGCCTGCCACCATGCCCGGCTAATTTCGTTTTGTATTTTTAGTAGAGATGGGGTTTCACCATGTTAGCCAGGATGGTCTCGATCTCCTGACCTCATGATCTGCCCGCCTCAGCCTCCCAAGTGCTGGGATTACAGGCGTGAGCCACAATGCCCGGCCCACGTTTTGCTGTTAATAATGATGGTGCTGAAGACTATGGCTTTGATGACTAGTTCTGCTTTAAGAAAACATTCCGTAAGTCTTCATCATTGCAGTGATATATATTTCCTTGCAGTGATATATATGTATATATTTTTATATATACAGCCTACAAGGGGACAATATGGCACAGTGAGTATGATCATGAACTTTGAAGCCGGACTTTTTGTGTTCAAACCCTTGCTCTGTCACTTTCTAGCTAGGTGAACTTAGCCAAGTTACTTAACTCTCTAGGCCTCAATTTCTTCACCTGCTGCTTCATAAGTTGGGGATAATGACAGTACTCAACTTCCTTGGGTTGTTATGAGGATTAAATGAGTTAACATTAGTAATGCTCTTGGAACAGCGTCTGACACATCATAAGCACAAAAGTGTTTGTTAGATAAAAAGTGATTTTTTTTCCTGCCTTAGGTTGATTTGTACAAATAGCACAAGAGGACACCAACTCCATGCAGATGGCAGCCCAGCAGGTCACACCAGTCCTTCTGTCCTCACACTGGCAGACAGAGGCCTCCTCTCTGGAGTCTTCACAGGGGCCTGAGCTAGAGCTGGAAATGCAGCTGGAGCTGCAGCCAAAGCTGGGGCTGCAGGGCCTTGATTTGAGACTTGGCCTTGGTCTTGGGTGGGCAGAGGTAAGACCCTTGGCAATGCAGGCAGGAGCACGCTTCCCGAGCTTGGGGTAGGCAATGTAGGCAAGTCAATTGAGCTTCTGGATGATGTGCTTTGGGATTTGGGACTTAACCTCCTTGGCCTTTTTGAGGACTTTGATAGACTTGGCATACAGACACATGGCATTGGTACTGTTGGCCCGCTTCTTATTCACGCCCTTCTTGTTGTGCTTCTTGGCAAAGCACATGTTCCTCAGGAACTTGGGGTCTACCCCATTAAGAGGTTTGTATCTTTGTTATCACAGTTTCTTGATGTCATTTCTGTACCATTTTTGGGACTGGTTGTGTGTGGTGTGGTTCTTGGACTTGGCCATGTCTACATCATAACCTGTGGCTCCAGAAGCTCTTGGGACCAGAAGAGAAAGAACCAAAAAGTGAATTTTATTTTAAAAAAATGTTTTGAGACAGGGTCTCATTCTGATGCCCAGGTTGGGGTGCAGTGGCACAATCATGGCTCACTGCAGCCTCAACCTAGCCATCCTCCTGCCTCAGCCTCCTGAGTAGCTGGGACTGCAGAAGTGCACTACCATGCCCAGCTAATTTTTGAAATTTTCTGCAGAGACAAGGTCTCACTATGTTGCCCAGGCTGGTCTCAAACTCTTGAGCTTAAGTGTTCCTCCTACCTCGGCCTCCCAAAGTACTGGGATTATAGGTGTGAACCACCATACCCAGGCTCAAAAAGTGAATTTAAAAATAAGTAACTGCTAGATAGTATTAAAATATTATCATTTGGAACAAGTGAAAAATATTTTCACGTAGCCAGGCTGAGTTCCAGAATGAATTTAGTTTAATTGCTTTGCTTAATTTTTTTTGAGACAGAGTCTCACTCTGTTGCCCAGGCTGGAGTGCAGTGGCGCGATCTTGGCTCACTGCAACCTCTGCCTCCTGAATTCCAGCGATTCTCTTGCCTCAGCCTCCTGAGTATCTAGGATCACAGACGCCTGCCACTATGTCTGGCTAATTTTTGTATGTTTTTCAGAGACAAGGTTTCGCCATGTTGCCTAGGCTGGTCTCTAACCCCTGAGCTCCGGTGATTCACCCGCCTCAGCTTCCCAAAGTGCTGGGATTACAGACATGAGCCACTGTGCCGGCCTGTTTTGCTTAATATTGATTGCTTTTAGTTTCAGCTTTCAATCACAAAAGACAATCATGCAGTAGATAATTAAGTGTAATATGGATTACTTTGAAACTTAGCAATGAGAGTCTTTTTTTTTCTTTTTATACAAAATTCCTCTAAAATGGGAATATTTTTCACATAAAATAAAGGGAAACTTAGAAAATGTGTCTAAGTATAATGGAAGCATTCAAATGTTTGTTTTAAGCTTTCTAATACATTTATTTGTACAGATCAAGACTTACTAATATGCTAAAAAGGAACAGTTAAAATAAACTATTGTACATTCTTAAAATGGTCTACTGTGCAGCTGTTTACAAGAATGCAGTAAATTTATATATACTCATGTGGGACAGCCATCCAGCTATCTCATGATTAAAAAAGGAATGTGTAAAACACTATGTATGGCATGCACATATTCCAGAACAGTGTTCTTAAATGGATATCTTAGTCTGTTTTCTGTTGCTTTTAACAGAGTACCTGAAACTGGGTATTTTATAAAGAAACAAAATGTATTTCTTACAGTTTGGAGGCTGAGAAGGCCAAGGTTGAAGGGCTGAATCTGGTGAGGGTCTTCTTGCTAGAGGGGACTCCGCAGAGGCTGGAGGTGGCACAGAGCATCAGGTGGTGAGGAGGCTGAGAGTGCTAGCTCAGGTCGCTCTTCCTTTTCTTATAAAGCTACTCACATAACTCATTAATCCATTAACCCATGACTCTATTAATCCATGAATGGATTAATCCATTCATGAAGGCAGAGAATTCATGAGTCAATCACCTCTTAAAGGTCCACCTCTCAGCAGGGCGTGGTGGCTCCTGCCTGTAATCCCAGCACTTTGGGAGGCCGAGGGTGGATCATGAGGTCAGGAGTTCGAGACCAGCCTGGCCAATATGGTGAAACCCCGTCTTTACTAAAAATACAAAAATTAGACGAGTGTGGTGGAACGTGCCTGTAGTCCCAGCTATTTGGGAGGCTGAGGTAGGAGAACTGCTTGAACCCGGGAGGTGGAGGTTGCAGTGAGCTGGGATCATGCTACTGCACTCGAGCCTGGGCGACAGAGCGAGACTCCGTTTCAAATAAAAAAATAAAAAAAAAGGTCCACCTCTCAATACTGCCACATTGGGATTAAATGGATTAAATTTCTACATGAGTTTTGGAGGGCACAAATATTCAGACCATAGCAATGGGTCACACTCAAAATTAGGGATATGAATAAAGCAACATTATTCTTTACTTTTACTGCCTCTTTAAACCTTGAAGGAAATTTTGTGTGGATGCCTCACAACTTTTTTGATCACTCAGATAATATGAAGTCCCCTAGCACTTTTATTTCCAATAATAGTTTCAGTGCTGTAATTAAACTGGCCAGTCCAGTGAAATAATGGAAACACGAAGCCCCTGTATGAATGAGAGCTCATTGCTTCCTCCAGCTCAGCTTTGCTTTAAGCACGAGGAAGAGGGGCAGCCTGGGAGGCTTATTACAGCTCAGTTTCTTGGCTTTGGGCTTCTATTGCTCCTCTCCCCTAAGCAACTCGGATGCCCCAGGGTTGAAAAGAAAAGGAAGAAATAACGGACGGGAAAGCCTTTACTGAACTGGTGACCAGGTAATTCTTGTTGGGGCCTTCTAGGAGTAGCAGATACTGGTTCTTATTCTTTCTCTCTTCTACAGTTTTCTCAAAGACCCCTCCCATTGGAGACTTCCAGTTGCAATTCCTGTGATGTAGTTGATGCTTTTCTCTGGCAGCCTACTTACACCTCCATCCCTCAGCACTTGGATGTCTGATGGTTCAACTCAAACACACATTCTTTTGGAATCCCATGTCCTTCTAGGCAGCCCAATTGGGCAAGGTCCTTTTAAAGTCAATTTCAGGTTGGTTTTTGCCCATGAGTTCACTTGGCCCTCATGTTAATGCAGACCACTCCCAGAGAAGCCTCGCTTCTCTCCATTCCCTGCCTCTTCATGCTGCAAACCATATATCACCTTAGATTTTCCGGATGTGCCACAACTCTGGGGGATGCCATCCCAGCCCTGGAAGTGGTGGTTTGGGTTTGGGCTTGGGTTTTTTGTTTGTTTGTTTTTTGAGATAGGTTTGGTTTTGCTCTGTCACCCAAGCTGGAGCAATACTTCCACTTCAGCCTTCCGAGTAGCTGGGTCTGCAGGCATCGGCCACCATGCCCAGCTATTTTTTTTTTTTTTCCAGAGACAGAGTTTTCCCATCTTGTCCAGGCTGGTCTCAAACTCCTGGGCTTGAGCAGTCCACCCACTTCAGTCTCCAGAGTGGTGGGATTACAGGTCTGAACCACCTTACCCAGTCAGAAGTGGTGTTTTTGAAGACTTATTTTGTTTTGTTTTGTTTTGTTTTTGAGATAGAGTCATGCTCTATTGCCCAGGCTGGAGTACAGTGGTGGAGTCTCAGCTTACTTCAATCTCCACCTCCCGGGTTCAAGTGATTCTCCTGCCTCAGCCTTCCAAGCAGCTGGGATTACAGGCATCTGCCACCACACCCAGCTAATTTTTGTATTTTTAGTAGAGACAGGGTTTTATCATGTTGCCCAGGCTGGTCTTGATCTCCTGACCTCAGATGATCCACCTGCCTCGGCCTCCCAAAGTGCTGGGATTACAGGCATAAACCACTGTGCCTGGCCTCTTTTTGGTTTAAGATAAGGGAAAACACCAAAAAAAAAAAAAAAAAGATAAGGGAAAACACCATCCTCTTGGCCCTCATGAACATGAGGAAAACACACAGAGATAACACACTCCAAAGAAAATTCCCTTCTTATGGCCACTTCAGTGCGAAGCCTTTTATACCCTCAAGATTGGTCTAAGGTTCATAAGGCCAGTTTTTTATTCTTGTATTTGTAAATCCTCTTTGGGAGGTAGCCATTCTCTTTGGAATGTGAGTGTTTACGATATCTACTATTTTTCTCCTAATTTTTGAGGGTATAACTGAAACTAAGAAAGGATCTCATTATAACATTCTTTTTAACTTATATATCCAGAGAATACTTCTTCAAAAAATATTTTAAAAAATGAAAATTTCAACAAATCTAAAGATCTAATTAGCTTTTAGTAGTGATTCATGAATTGGGCATCATTCTGTCCAAAACAGAGGGAGCTCTGTTGGCCATGCAGAAGAGTTGGTTTTTGTAAGGTAGCCTGAGCAGAAACGAGGAAACAGAAAAATTTTAAAAAGTAGATGGGTTAAGATAAGTTTACGTCAAGGTACTTTCACTGTAAGGATTAAATCATGTCCTTATCACGTCAACCTGTTTTTAGGAAAAACTGGCCTGTTTGGGGATTTCCTTGCTTCCTTAAAGTTTTAGCTTGATTATGTAGCACTTAGCATGAATGACTCCATTTTGGTTTGGTCTGTTGGGGCCTGGTGCAAGAGCTCAGTCTAAAACAATGGCCTCCTATAAATTTTATTTAATAAAGGATACCTGAGAAATGGATGCCTACCTCCAGGGTTTGGGGAAAGGGTTGTGGAGGGAGACATTTCACTGTATAGCCTTTAACGCCTTTTAAATCTTATACCATGTTCATTTGTCACCTATTCCACATATCTAATCATGTCCTAAAATGCTTCCTGTTGCAATAGCAGAAAAAAAAAACACACTAAAAAAATGAGGTTTGGGCTGGGCACGGTGGCTCACACCTGTAATCCCAGCACTTTGGGAGGCTGAGGCAGGTGGATCACCTGAGGTCAGGGGTTCAAGACCAGCCTGATCAACATGGTGAAACCCCATGGCTACTAAAAATACAAAATGAGCCATGCATGGTGGTGTGCACCTTAATCCCAGCTACTTGAGAGGCTGAGGCAGGAGAATCACTTGAACCCGCGAGGCAGAGGTTGCAGTGAGCCAAGATCACGCCATTGCACTCCAGCCTGGGCAAAAAGAGAAACTCCATCTAAAAAACAGAAAAAAAAAACAAACAAAAACAAATGAGGTTTGTTTTAAAAGCAAAATTATAACTCAAGGCACAAAGTGAAGAATTGATGTATATGTACATTTACATACCAAGAAAGGCACTTTGTCTTTAATTCTCCATATATCTTAGTTCTTCTTCTTTTTTTTTTTTTTTTTTTTTTGGCTAACTTACATTGTCACAATTCCTCACTGCTTATTTACACCTTTCTGGTACCATCAAACTGATAAATTATGGTTGATTTCATTGTGCTTCAATCTTGTTTACATCTGATTTTGAGTCATAGAACTGCAAAATTTGAAGGAAGCTTAAATATTATTGTGTAAGTGTTCCTTGGGTCATGGCTGACAAAGCTGAGGCCCTCATACAGTCATCACAGCAGAGACACACTCCAGGAAGCCTTTTGCAGAACAGTGAACCGGCCTGGCTTTTGTTGTGTATGTTTGTTTCCTTTTTTTTTACGTTTAATGCAAGTGTTGAAGATAAATGAATGTACCCACTCTATTATATAACACAATGACAGCCTTTGTTCCTCCCTGGTGCTATCCTTAGGGTAGGACTCAGTGTTTCTCTTTATTTATCAAAAGAAAGTTCATTCTATAAGGCACTAGAGGGAAGATTTTGTAGAGAAGGTGGACTGGAGAGTTACATCATATAACACACAGTAAAATTTAATGAAAGTCCCTGTTAAACAGTTTTGTTCTTCCCGTAAATTCATCTCCAGACAACAGCTGCCCCCTCTCCCTTATAACCCTTTTTTCAGGCAGGCTGTTTAGGCCTGCCTGGTTACAATCAGGTTTCCAGCCCCAGGGATCTTCTTTCCAAACTCCTAAATCACTCCTTTTTCTCCTGCAGAGTAATTTAGCTCTCTCCTGGTTTCTTCAATTTTGTATCTTCACACCTGAAATTCCGTTCATCTAATAATCTACTTCCATTAGAAGAAAGTAAGTAATCCACAAAATTTTTAAAATATTGGTTTTTAAATTTATCTATTTAGGCCAGGCATGATGGCTCCCGCCTGTAATCCCAGCACTTTAGGATGCCGAGGCAGGCGAGTCACCTGAGGTCAGGAGTTTAAGACCAGCCTGGCCAACTTGGTGAAACCTCATCTCCACTAAAAATACAAAAATTAGCTGGGCATGGTGGCAGACACCTGTAATCCCAGCTACTTGGGAGGCTGAGGCAGGAGAATCGCTTGAACCCGGGAGGTGGAAGTTGCAGTGAGCCAAGATCATGTCACTGCACTCCAGCCTGGGCAACAAGAGTGAGACTCCATCTCAAAAAAACAAAAGAAATGAAAAAATTTATTTATTTATTTTAAGGCTAGTCAAGTGGAAGCAGTGGAAATAGAAACAAAGAAATCTGTAACTGGTTGTGATCAATTAGTTGTAAACACCACTGCACAGCCTAAAAATATTTGTCTCAAAATAATTTTTTCTTCATGTCACATTACAAGACAGCAACAATAAGTAAGCACAGAGTCCGGGTTGATACAGTTCAGGACATTTGGTATCGCAAAACCCCAGAATATTAGAGCTATAAAGGCCCTGACTTAACAGATGAAGAAACTGAGACCTAGAATAATATCCTGTTAGTTGACCTCCAGAATCTGTTTTCTCTTCTCCTACAGTGATAGATTTATAGCTTGGTGTGGCCATGACTAAATTCTCACCAATGGAATGGAGACACAGGTGACTTGTGCAGATTCCAAGTTGCCTGTTTAAAAGGAAGTTGTTGGCTGGGCGCGATGGCTCACGCCTGCAATCCCAACACTTTGGGAGGCCAAGGTGAGCGGATCACGAGGTCAGGAATTTGAGACCAGCCTGGCCAATGTGGTGAATCTCTACCAAATGTGGCCATCTCTACCAAAAAAAAAAATACAAAAATTAGCCGGGCATGGTGGTGCATGCCTGTAGTCCCAGGTACTTGGGAGGCTGAGGCAAAGAATCTCTTGACCTGGGAGGCAGAGGTTGCAGCGAGCTGAGATGATACCACTGCACTCCAGCCTGGGCAACAGAGTGAGACCCTGTCTCAAGAAAAATTAAAAAAAAAAAATTTTTTTAAAGGAAGTTTCTTGTTCTTCATCTCTTTTCCCCCATTCTCTTGAACAAGAAATCAGGCTTGATAGCAACACAACTTGGAAGATTCGGACAAAAAACGATACCCTACCATCTCGCTATTCTGTGTGCTCCACGTGTAAGTAGCATCAGCATCACCTAAGAACTTGTTAGAAAGGTGGAATCATAGGACTCACTCCAGACATACTGAATCAGAGCCTGCAGTTTAACAAGATGCTCATGTGATTCACCTTCATATTAAAGTTTGGGAAGAACTGATTTAGAAAATAGCAGAGCCAGGAGATGGAATCAGGATTCCTGATTGTCACAAGCTAAACTACACTGACAACTTGGACCACTTACTCCCCCCACCCCCAATTTTCAATTTTGGTAAAATACACATAACATGAAATTTACCACCTTAACCATTTTTAAGTGTACTGTTTAGGGATATTAAGTACCTTGCAACCATCACCACCATCCATTGCCTGAATTCTTTCATCTTGCAAAATGGACACTTGAAACTCTACACCTATTTTTTTGTTTTCTTTTGTTTTGTTTTGAGACAGAGTCTCACTCTGTCACCCCGGCTGGAGTGCAGTGGCGCAATCTTAGCTCACTGCAACCTCTGCCCCCCCAGGTTCTAGCGATTCTCCTGCCTCAGCCTCCTGAGTAGCTGGGATTACACGCGCGTGCCACCACGCCCAGATAATTTTTGTATTTTTAGTAGAGATGGGGTTTCATCATGTTGGTCAGGCTGGTCTCGAATTCCTGACCTCGTGATCCGCCTGCCTCAGCCTCACAAAGTGCTGGGTTTACAGGCGTGAGCCACCTCACCCGGCCAAAACTCTATACCTATTAAACACCTCTCCGCTCACTCCTCCCACCAGCCCCCAGTAACCACTGTTCTACTTTCTCTTGAACTCATCTATTTTTGGATTGTTGAGAGAGACTTAAGCCACGGTATTTTGGGATGTACTGCTCAGATTTCCCCTTTTTAGGACCAAACCACTCATTTTCTCAGCTACTGAGAGTATTGGCAAATGACAGACTAAGTTCAGTTCCTCTTCAGAAATTGCCCTTGGCTGAAGAGAGATACTTAACCCAAAGTCTTTCCAGAGTCAGTCAGTCCACATCCAATGGGTACAGCAGCCAATGCAAGTATTAATACTAGTTGCCTTGCCCCAGTTTGGGATAATGCCAAGGGATCATTCCAACTACAGAGTTTCTCTTGATTTATTGCGATTGCATCACAATTCAACTTTTTCCTCTGCCTAATTCTTCCTTTCCTCCTCCACAGGGTTGATCTGGTTAATATTCCCCAATAAACATCATTTTGTATCCTTGGCCTAGGCATAAGAGCTGTACTAGTGATGAAGGCCATGACTCTACTCCCTCTCCCTCATGAAGCCCCGGGCCCAGCCCCTGCCTGCCAAGATAATACAAAATCATATACATTTTGGGGGTAACGACAAAGATTGGTGCTATTTATATAAAGCCTAAAGGGTGCAGTGGCCATGGTCCCCACAATATCTCCATTCTAAAAATCGGCCAAAACATCTTCCAAAGTAACTGTATTTTGCATTCCCAGCAGCATTTTGCATTCCCAGCAGCAATGAGTAAGAGTTTCAGCTTATCAGTTAAAAAAAAAAAAGTAGTCATTTTAATCGGTGTGTAGTTGTATCTCATCATAGTTTTAAGTTGCATTTTTTTCTTCTTTTTTTTTTTTTTTTTTTTTTTTTTTTTTTTTTTTTTTTGAGATAGGGCCTCACTCTGTCACCCAAGCTGGAATACAGTGGTGCAATCTCGGGTCACTGAAACCTCTGCCTCCTGGGCTCACATGATCCCCCACCTCAGCCTCCCAAGTAGTTGAAACCACAGGCACTTACCACCACACCCAGCTATTTTTTTGTATTTTTGGTACAGATGGGGTTTCACCATGTTGCCCAGGCTGGTCCTCCAACTCCTGAGCTCAAGTGATCTCTCTGCCTTGGCCTTCTGAAGTGCTGGGATTACAGGTGTGAGCCACTGAACCCAGCCTCAGTTGCATTTCTTTAATAACTACTAACATTGAGCATCTTTTCTTTTCTTTTCTTCTTTTTTTTTTGAGGCAGAGTTTCGTTCTTGTCGCCCAGGCTGCAGTGCAATGGCGCCATCTCTGCTCACTGCAACCTCTGCCTCCCAGGTTCAAGCGATTCTCCTACCTCAGCCTCCCGAGTAGCTAGGATTACAGATGCCTGCCACCACGCTCAGCTAATTTTTTGTATTTTTAGTAGAGTCAGGGGTTTCACCATGTTGGCCATGCTGGTCTCTAATTCCTGACCTCAAGTGATCCACCCTCCTCAGCCTCCCAAAGTGCTAGGATTATAGGAATGAGCCACCGTGCCTGGCCTTCATGTTCTTATTCTTCATCTGTTCTATTACTTGGTAAAGTGTCTTTTCAATTCTTTTGCTTATTTAAAAAAAAATTGAATTGTTTGTTTTCTTTTTTTTTTTGAGACAGAGTCTCACTCTGTCACCCAGGCTGGAGTGCAGTAGCGAGATCTCGGCTCACTGCAACCTCTGCCTCCCAGGATCAAGCAATTCTCCTGTCTCAGCCTCCCAAGTAGCTTGGAGTACAGGCACACTCCAGCATGCCTGGCTAACTTTTGTCTTTTTAGTAGAGATGGGGTTTCACCATACTGGTCAAGCTGGTCTCTCGAACTCCTGACCTCAGGTGATCCACCCGCCTTGGCCTCCCAAAGTGCTGAGATTACAGGCCTGAGCCACCGTGCCCGGCCTGTTTGTTTTCTTATTAAGTTTTAAGAGTTCTTTGTGCATTTTGGATACACATTCTTCATCAGATATGTGTCTTGCAAATATTTTCTCCCAGTCTGTGACTTGTCTTTTCATTTTTTACTGTTGTCTTTTGCAAAGCAGAAGTTTTTAATTTTAACGAAATTCAACTTAACAATTTTTTTATTTCGTGGACTATGCTTTTGGTGTTGTATCTAAAAGCTTATTGTCGGCCAGGTGTGGTGCCGCACACCTGTAATCCCAGCACTTTGGGAGGCCAAGACCAGTGGATCACCTGAGGTCAGGAGTTCACGACCAGCCTAACATGGTGAAACCCCATTTCTACTAAATACAAAAAAATTAGCTGGGCCTGGTGGTGCATGCCTGTAATCCGAGCTACTTGGGAGGCTGAGACAGGAGAATCGCTTGCATCTGGGAGGTGGAGGTTGCAGTGAGCCGAGATCGTGCCATTACACTCCAGCCTGGGCAACAAGAGCGAAACTCCGTCTCACAAGGAAAAAAAAAAACAAAACAATTTATCACCAAACTCGAGGTCACCTAGAGAACACAGAAATATTTTCTTCCAGAGATATTACAGTTTTGCATTTTACATTTAGTTCTAAGATCCACTTTGAGTTAATTTTTGTGAAAGGTATAAGGTGAGGTGTATATCTAGATTCTTTCTTGCTTTCTTTTTCTCTTTTATGCACACCAAATCATTCCAGCACCATCTTTTCTCTATTGAACTGCCTTTTCTTCTTTGCCAAGGATCAGTTGGCTACATTTGTGCTGGCCTATTTCTGGGCTCTGTAGACTCTTCCATGGATCAATGTGTCCTTCCTTCCTTCCTTCCTTCCTTCCTTCCTTCCTTCCTTCCTTCCTTCCTTCCTTCTTTCCTTCCTTCTTTCCTTCCTTTCTTCCTTCCCTCCCTCCCTCCTTTCTTTTCTTTTTCTTTTCTTTCTTTTCTTGAGAGACAGGGTCTTGCTTTGTCACCCAGGCTGGAGTGTGGAATGCAGTGGTGCAATCATAGCTCACTGCAGCCTCGAACTCCTGGGCACAAGTGATCCTCCCGCCTCAGCCTCCCAAGTAGCTAGGACTACAGGTGCGTGCCACCATACCCAGATAATTTATTTAAAATTTTTTGTAGAGATGGAATCTTGTTACGTTGCCCAGGCTGGTCTTGAACTTCTGGCCTCAAGTGCTCCTCTCACTTCGACCTCCCAAAGTGCAGAGGTTATAGGTGTGAGCTACTCGACCTGACCCTATATATGTATTCTTTTGTCACTACCATGCCATCTTTGCCCCTTAACTTTATTGAGGTATGATTGACAAATAAAAATTGAATATTTTTAAGGTGTACAATGTGATGTTTTGATATATGTGTACATTGTGAAATGATTACCACAATCAAGCTAACTGATATATCTATCATATCATTTAGTTACCATTGTGTGTGTGTGTGTGTGCGTGTGTCTGCAGTGTGAGAACACTTGAGTTCTACTCTCTTAGCAAATTTCAAGTATACTATACATTGTTATTCACTATAATCACCATGCTGAACATTAAGTCTCCAGAACTCATTCACCTTATAACTAAAAGTTTGTACTCTTTGACTAATTTCTTCCCTTTGCTCCCATCCCCCAGCCCCTGGTATCATTCATTCTACTCTCTGTTACTATGGGTTCAACATTTTTTTAGATTCCACATACAAGTGAGATCATGCCATGCTGTCTTAATTACTGTACCTTTAGAGTAAGTCTTGCTATTAGATGGTGTGAGTCTTCCAACTTTGTTCTTCTTCAGTATTGTGTTGGCTATTTTAGATCTTTTGCTTTTCCATACAAACTTCAGAATCATTTTGTTGGCCAGGCACGGTGGCTTACACCTGTAATCTCAGCACTTTGGGAGGCCGAGGCAGGTGGATCACCTGAGGTTGGGAGTTCAACACCAGCCTGGCCAACGTGGTGAAACCCCATCTCTACTAAAAATACAAAAATTAGCCAGGTGTGGTGGCACGCACCTGTAATCCCAGCTACTCGGGAGGCTGAGGCAGGAGAATCGCTTGAACCCAGGAGGTGGAGTTTGCAGTGAGCCAATATTGTGCCACTGTATTCCAGCCTGGGCAACAGAGCGAGACTCCATCTAAAAAAAAAAAAAAGAAAGAAAAGAAAAAAATAATCATTTTGTCAATATCTACTTGCTGGGATTTTGATTGGAATTGCGCTGAATCTATAAATGAGGTTGGGAAGAACTGACATCCTAATAATATTGTCTTCCAATCATTGAACATGGACTATCTTTCTATATATTTAGATTATCTTTGATTTCTTTCATCAGAGTTTTGTTGTTTTTTACATATAGGCCTTGCACATATTTTATTAGATTTATACCTAAGTATTTCAAATTTTGGTGCTATTGTAAACGATATTGTTTTTAAAATTTCAAATTCCAATTCTTCACTGCTTGTACATATAGGAAATCAGTTCACTTTTGTATATTAATCTTATGTCCTGCAAACTTGCTATACTTGCTTTTTAGTTCCAGCAATTTTTCGATAGATTCTTTGAGATTTTCTATATAGATGATCATGTCATCTGCAGAGTTTTATTTTTTCCTTCTGAATCTATATACCTTTTGTTTCCTTTTTTTGTTTTATTAAACTAGCCAGTACTTCCAATACAATGCTGACCATATCTTCACTTAATTTTTCAGTCTCACCTCTTCAAAAGCCAGATGAGTCCTGGAGGATAAAGCAAATGCAAACAAGTAGTAGTCTCAATTGCAGTTGCTGTGCATGGTATAATATCCTTGCTACAGCAAATT
Source organism: Homo sapiens (assembly GCF_000001405.40). Lineage (NCBI taxonomy): Eukaryota > Metazoa > Chordata > Mammalia > Primates > Hominidae > Homo > Homo sapiens. Next base: position 33,202,885 of record NC_000011.10, read on the forward strand.
TAATGGCCTCAGATTCATGGTATGCAGCCATTGGTCTGATGAATAATTTCTTTTCCAAACCTATCCGAAAGAAGAATTAGAAGAAATTTGTATACATTTAGGGGTCTTGCCCAGGCCATGTGGGCATTCTTCAGAGTATCACTTTAGTCCTTCTTTTTTTGAGACAGAGTCTCACTCTGTTGCCCAGGCTGGAGTGCAGTGGCATGATCTTGGCTCACTGCAGCCTCACGGTTCAAGTGATTCTCTTGCCTCAGCCTCTGGAGTAGCTAGGATTACAGGTGCGCCACCACCATGCCTGGCTAATTTTTGTATTTTTGGTAGAGATGGGGTTTCACCGTGTTGGCCAGGCTGCTCTCGAACTCCTGGCCTCAAGTGATCTGCCGGCCTTGGCCTCCCAAAGTGCTGGGATTATAGGCATGAGCCACCATGCCTGACCCACATTAGTCAATTTTACTGATTATATCATGTTAATTGAACTGCCTGGGGCAAGTACACTGGGCTTTGGTAAAACACAGACCTCCAGAGGGTGGGAGATAAACCCTACAAAGATTCAGGGTCCTGCTACATAACATGTTCTGGAGTCCAAGTAGCTTGGGTTATGCTGAGACATCCCCTCCAGAATAAAAGGCAAACCTCCATTTCAGAGTCTGATCCCAAATAACCTGACAGGTGGCATGGGGTCTTTTTGTTGTAAGGGATTAGCCAACCCTAACTGACACTATAGCTAATAATGATTGAATGCTGACAATATGGATGACAGTTTTCTATAACCCCTGTATCACCAATGAGGAAACTAAGGCACAGAATGGTCAATAACTGGCCTAAGTTTACAAGTAGGCAACAGAGCTGGGCTTTGAATTCAGACACCTGTTTTCTAGGCTCATACTTTTAAATCATTTCATGACATTACCTCTCCATATCCAAGGTCACGCAGCAGTCAGTGGCAAAAACCAATTCTGAGACTTGGGTTCCCGAATGGCGTTTCAGTGATCATTTTTTTCTGCACTCTCTTCACTACATTTCTCTAGGTCTGAATAAACATTTTCTTCTCCAATTAAAGGTGTGCTCAGCTGGATGTGGTGGCTCATGCCTGTAATCCCAGCATTTTAGGAGGCCAAGATGGACAGATTACTTGAGGCCAGGAGTTTGAGACCAGCCTACCCAACATGGTGAAACCGGGTGTCTACTAAAAATACAAAAATTAGCCGGGTATGGTGGCATGCATCTGTAATCCCAGCTACTTGGGAGGCTGAAGCAGGAGAATGGCTTGAATCTGGGAGGCAAAGGTTGCAGTAAGCCGAGATCTCACCGCTGCACTCCAGCCTGGGCAACAGAGTGAGACTCTGTCTCAAAATAAATAAATAAATAATAAAGTTGTTGTTTTCCATCTAATGCTGAGGTCACGAGCTTGGGCTGTGGCGTAAGATAGACCTGAGTCTCTACTATTTACTAGCAGAGTGACATTAAGGATATTGCTCACACTCTTTGAGTTTTCTCATATGTAAATTGGAACAATAATAACAGTACCTGTTTCATAGAGTTGATGCAAAGATTAAATGATATAATATTTAGTATGTGAGATTAAAACCTTGACATGTAACCCAGTCATTAATATTAACTGACATTATTATTATTTTTGCCTGGCATCTAGATATCTGGGGAGTCTTCCTCTTTCTTCGTCTCATCTCTATTTGACTTTCTATTAAACTGGGATTCCCTGATTCCTGAGGATCTGATTATTCAAGCTCAAAACTTTGACTGGCTGGCCTGGTGTGGTGGCTCATCATGCCTGTAATCCCAGCACTTTGAGAGGCCAAGGTGGGCAGATCACTTGGGGTCAGGAGTTAGAGACCAGCCTGGCCAACATGGTGAAACCCTGTCTCTACTAAAAATACAAAAATTAGCCAGGCATGGTGGCACACACCTGTAATCCCAGCTACTTGGAAGGCTGAGGCAGGAGAATCACTTGAACCTGGGAGGCAGAGGTTGCAGTGAGCCAAGATCATGCCACTGCCCTCCAGCTTGGGCGACAGAGCCTGACCCTGTCACAACAACAACAACGTTTACTAGCAAATGGAAGAGGGAACACTGATTTGCCTGGTATATATACCACATAAGGATTTCCTTGAATCTCATGGGTATTCTGTATGTGCACAAAGCAACTGCACACATGAATATGTAAAATGAAGGACTATTCATTTGTGCCTCAGGTGTCATTATCACTATGCTATCGGGAAGGCAGTTTTCCCTTGAAGGAGAGAGTTCTAATAGGATTATTCCTCTTTTACAAATACAAATAACTTCATAACATCTCCTTTATTTTCCCAAAATAAAATTAGTTGACGCAATAACCCATTTTTACATGCAAAAATGTGAAGGCCTGTGAAGGTTAATTTTTAAAAAATCATCCAACCCCAAATGTCACAAGATGGTTAATTTTATTTATTTATTTGTTTATTTATTACTATTATTTTTTGAGACGGAGTCTCACTTTGTTGCCCAGGCTGGAGTGTAGTGGCACGATCTCAGCCCACTGCAACCTCTGCCTCCCAGGTTCAAGTGATTCTCCTGTCTCAGCCTCCCAAGTAGCTGGGACTTACAGGCACCTGCCACCACGCCCGGCTAATTTTTGTAGTTTTAGTAGAGATGGGGTTTCACCATATTGGCCAGACTGGTCTCCAGCTCCTGACCTTGTGATCCGCCTGCCTCAGCCTCTGAAAGTGCTGGGATTATAGGTGTGAGCCACTGTGCCCCAGCCTATTTATTTAATTTTTTTTTTTTGAGATAGGGTCTGGCTCTGTTGCCCAGGCTGGAGTATGATGGTGTAATTTTGGCTGACTGCAACCTCCGTCTCCTGGACTCAAGTAGCTGGGACTATAGACATACACCACCACATCCAGCTAATTTCTGTATTTTTTTGGTAGAGACAAGGTTTTGCCATGTTGCCCAGTCTGGTCTCAAACTCCTAGGCTCAAGTGATCCACTCGCCTCGGCCTCTCAAAGTGTTGGGATTACAGGCATAAGCCCCTGTTCCTGGCCATTAATTTTATGTGTCAACTTGACTGGGTTAAAGGATGCCCAGATAGCTGGAAACACATTTCTGGAATTAATTACCCAAACAGTTGAGGCATAAATAGAACAACAAGATGGAGAAAGGGCACATTCGCTGTCTTTGAGTTAGAACATTTATATTCTCCTGCCCTTAAGCACTGGTGTTCCTGGTTCTCTAGCCTTTGGACTCAGACTTCATACCAGGACTTACACCATGTTACCATCTTATACCACTGTGCCATCCCTCCACTCCCAGCCCATCCTTCTCAGGCCTTCCAACTCAGACTGAATTACACCACTGGCTTTGCTGGTTTTCCAGCTGCAGATGGCAGACCACGGGATTTCTCAGCTCCCACAATTGTGTGAAACAATTCCCGTAATAAATCTCCATCTGTATATTCATATATCCCCTATTGCTTCAGTTTTTCTGGAGAACGTTGACTAATATATGGTCCTAACTTAAATATAAAAGGGAAATAAAAGTATTTTATAATAAAATATATATCTCAACTCATTAATGCACAGGCATGACTACGTTTCAAAACGATGAGGCAGCCACATGTTTGCACCTATACCTGGAATCATTGTGCATGTAGCAGCTATAAATGCAGACTGCTACAAATGTGTTGAGCTAGTGACTAGAATGCCATGAGAACTGTGACTGTTAGTGATTTTTTTTCCTGAAATGGTAAAAAACTGTGTGTAAAATTACGAACCAAACAAAAGACAATCTTTCCTCACTTTACCTAAAAGGTCTGCTTCTAGAAAAGCCAGTGTATACTAAAATTGGGAGGAAACTTTGTATTTATGTGAAAAATGAAGATAGGTTCCAGGCTCAGGTTTCTCACTGATATGAATGTTTGCAGAGACATCAAAAGTTGTGAGGGACCCAGGATAATTCTTTGGTGTGAACAGCATCCCCGGATTTTGTCCGTTAAATGCCAATAGCACTTCCAATCATTGTGACATCTAAAGGTACTCCTACAGAATCTAAAATGCCTCTTGAGAAGTTTTAGCTGTGTTGAGAACCACAGTTTTAATGAAAATGTTATTGTTTTGTTTTGTTTTTGAGACAGAGTTTCACTCTGTCACCCAGGCTGGAGTGCAGTGGTGCGATCTCGCCTCACTTCAACCTCCGCCTCCCAAGTTCAAGCAATTCTCCTGCCTCAGCCTCCCTAGTAGCTGGACTACAGGCGCCTACCACCACTCCCAGCTAATTTTTGTATTTTTAGTAGAGACGGGATTTCGCCATATTGGCCAGGCTGGTCTCGAACTCCTGACCTCAGGTGATCCACCCACCTCAGCCTCCCAAAGTTCTGGGATTACAGGCGTGAGCCACCACTCCCGGCTGAGAACCACAGTTTTAATGAAAATGTTATTGTTATGTATGTTTTTATTATATCAGGGCAAGTGCACTCAAAACTTCCCAGAAATTATTTAAGTCTCTACAATAATCGTTTTACACTGTTTATCACCATTTTATAAATGAGGAAACAGGATCAGAGAGATGAAGTCATTTGTCCCAGGTCACACAGTGAGTAAGTGACTGATGTGAACAGCTCCAGCTCTTGGCCTTACCTCACCCAGCTCACTATATCCCTTAGCTGGGAGTGCATTGGAAAACTATGGGTCTCTGGCTCAGGGCCCAGCAGTGAAATTGCTGGAACTTCAACCCCCACCCTTCCCTCCATCTCCTGGAAATGTCTGTGTTCTGGTTCCAGGAACTGCTGAGCCACCTTGCTGGTGGTGGTTGCCTCTCCTCTGCCCCAGCCATCCGTCCTCCCTGCCTCATTTCCATGGTCACGATTGCTCTTAAGGAAAGCGGGGGAGCCTCTGCTTCCAGTTTCCTGCAGGGCTTCAAAGAAGGCAGCAGCTGTTTTATTTGATTTGGTTTTTATTCCAGGGGGGCCTGACATGGGCACGTGGGGCTGGCCTGGAAGGCTGTGTCACCTCTTACTTAACAGTGCCCCTCCCATATCCCAACTAAGCTAGCATGCTCAGCTTCTCTTTCCTTTCCAAGTGAATTCCTGCTCCAACTGTTGACTTGTATGAAAACTTAAAAGGGGCACCATTATTTACCAGGTCCTTAGGTGAATTTCAGCTCTGGTGGCCTGAAACTAGCCTCATGCTTCTCAAACGGGAGTCAGCCAGTCACTTAACAGTCATATCCCTCGAAATAGGCAGCGGTGTCATGGAAAAGTAATAGAGGGTATCTTCTGGGACTCTCAATTTTTCTGAATGGTGCCTGATTTAAAATATCTTAATTTCATGACAAATATGGCAGCATAGAATAGAAAATGTTCATGAATGTTTAGGATAAACCCTGTGATTTAGATTCCTAGCTCTTGGATGTTCTGTAGCCTATTCTACCTCCTTCTCCTTCCCACCTCCATCTTACCGTCAGACCATCAGAGCTATACATGTCTTAGAGGTAAAAGCTGGAACTGCATTGGCTGAAGATATCTTCTATATGGTTATTAGGTTTTTATGGTAATAATCCACTAATTTTCCCCAAGTCCTCCATCCCCACCCCAAACATGTGCATTCTCAAAAGATGCTTTGCTTTGTCACTCACTGTAGGGTGCCTTTGTATGTACCCTGTGGCAGAGTCTGTCTCTTTTTTTTTTTTTTTTTTTTTGAGACAGAGTCTCACTCTGTCACCCAAGCTAGAGTGCAGCTGCATGATCTCAGCTTGCTGCAAACTCTGCCTCCCAGATTCAAGTGATTGTGCCTCAGCCTCCTAAATAGCTGGAATTACAGGTGCCTACCACCACACCTGGCTAATTTTTGTATTTTTAGTACAGATAGGGTTTCACCTTATTAGCCAGGCTGGTCTCAAACTCTTGACCTCTAGTGATCCGCCTGCCTCGGCCTCCCAAAGTGCTAGGATTACAGGCGTGAGCCACCGTGCCCAGCCCAGAGTCTGTCCTTATTTCATAATTGTATCATACTGGAAACAAATATAGTGGTGGCATTGAGCAAGGGCTCAATAAGTGTCAGCTGAATGAATGAAAAGATGAATGAATAAATGAAAGTCTCACTCTTTTGAGTTTTGAACTGGGAATCTCTGCCTCACTATTAAGTAAAATCAAATTAAAACAAGGCAATGCTAATGATCACTATTTTATTTGGTGAATAATTTTGAGAAGATACAGGATAATGTTAGCATGGGAGGGGCAGCTCTGCCATGAGTACTCTGTGCACTCAGCAGTCTTGAGTAGGAAGGAAGAACGGCATCCTTATATTCATAGTGAGACTGTAAGTTGGTGCTACATTGCTGAGAGTAATTTGGCAACATTGACTAATATTTTTATGCTCTTGACTCCTTAATTTATTCTAGGGAATTGATGATACATAGGTAAAAATATGTATCTATTTATGACAGCTTTATTATGAGAAAAACTGGAAACAATCAAGTGTGGAAAATGTGGTACTGGTTAAATTAACTATCACATATCCGCAGAATGGGTTATTATGGATCATAAAATATTTTCTTTTTCTTTTTTTTTTTTTTTTTTTGAGACGGAGTCTCGCTCTATCGCCCAGGCTGGAGTGCAGTGGCGCGATCTCGGCTCACTGCAAACTCTGCCTCCTGGGTTCAAGCGATTCTCCTGCCTCAGCCTCCCGAGTAGCTGGGACTACAGGCACCCGCCACCGCGCCCGGCTAATTTTTTGTATTTTTAGTAGAGACGAGGTTTCACCGTGTCAGCCAGGATGGTCTCGATCTCCTGACTTCATGATCCACCCGCCTCAGCCTCCCAAAGTGCTGGGATTACAGGGGTGAGCCACCGCACCCAGCCAAAGTATTTTCAAATAATATTTAATGATATGGGGAAAGATTCCATAAGGTATGAAGTATGATAGTACCTCAAAACATTGCTGAAAGAAATTTAAAGAGACAAATGGAAAGACATTTATGTTTGTAAATTGGAAGATAATATTGTTAACATGTCAGTACTACCTGAAGCGATCTACAGATTTAATGCAATCCGTATCAAAACCTCAATAATTTTTTTGTTTTCCAGAAATAGAAAAGTCCTTCCAGGCTGGGCGCGGTGGCTTATGCCTGTAATCCCAGCACTTTGGGAGGCTGAGGTGGTTGGATCACCTGAGGTCAAGAGTTCAAGACCAGCCTGGCCAACATGGTGAAACCCCATCTCTACTAAAAATACAAAAAAAAAAAAAAATTAGCTGGGCATGGTGGTGGGCACCTGTAATCCCAGCTACTCAGGAGGCTGAGGCAGGAGAATCGCTTGAACCCAGGAGATGGAGGTTGCAGTGAGCCGAGATCATGCCACTGCACTGCAGCCTGGGTGACAAGAGTGAAACTCCATTTCAAAAAAGAAAAAAAGAAAAATTCTCCCTAAAATTTGTATGAAATATTTAAGTGCCCCATATAGTAAAATAATCTTGAAAAATAACATAGAAGTTGGAGATCACCCTTTATAATTTCAAAGTCATTACAAATCTATAGTAATCAAAATAGTGTGGTGTTGCCACAAAGACGAACAGACCAATGGAACAGAATAGAGAGCTCAGAAAAAAACCTTCACATATATGGTCAAATTATTTTTGACAACAGTGCCAAGACCACTCAATGGGGAAAGGGCAGTCTCTTCAACAAATGGTTTTGGGAAAACTGAAGATCCACAACCAAAAGAATGAAGTTGGACCCTTACCTAACATCATATACCAAAATTAACTCAAAATGGATTAAAGACCTAAATATAAGAGCTAAAACTGTAAAACTTACAAAGGAAAATGTAAGACAAAAGTGTCATGACATTAGACTTAGCAATGGTTTGTTGGATATGACACCAAAAGCATAGGCAACATAGGTGAAAATGAATAGATCGGACTACATCAGAAATGTAAACTTTTGTGGATCAAAGGACATAATCAAGAGAGTAAAGGCAGCCTATGAAATGGGAAAAAATATTTGCAAATCATATAATCTGATAGGGGGTTAATATCCATAATATATAAAGAACTCCTACAATTCAACAACAACAAAAAAACAATTTAAAAAATGGATAAAGGTAGCTAGGCATGGTGATGCATACCTGTAGTCCTAGCTACTTGGGAGGCTGAGGCAGGAGCATAGCTTGTGCCCAGAAGGTTGAGGCTGCAGTGTGCCATGATCAGGCCATTGCACTCAAGCCTGGGTGACAGAGCAAGACTGTCCCCACACCCTCCCCCCAAAAGAAATGCACTTGAATAGATATTTCTCCAAAAATATACAAATAGCCAGCAAGCACATGAAAACATACACATCACTAATCATTAGAAAAATGTATATCAAAATCATAATGAGATAGTACCTCAAACCTACAGGAATAGCTATGTTTTTTTTTTTTTTAAGTAGGAAGTGCTGATGAGGATGTGGAGAAATTGCTGGTGGTATTGTGAAATGGCGCAACGGCTATGGAAATCAGTATGGTGGTTCCCCAAAAAATTAAAAATAGAACTATATATATATGATCTAGCAATCCCAGTTTTTGGTATATACTCAAAAGAATTGAAAGCAAGGTCTCAAAGAGATATTTGTACACCCATGTCTTAGGGTAATTATTCACAATAGTCAAACGGTGGAAGCAACCTAGGTGTCCATCAATGGATGAATGGATAAACAAAATGTGATATACATATACAACGGAATACTCTTCAGCCTTAAAAGGGAAGGAAATTCTGACACATGCTATGACATTGATGAACATTGAGGACATTATGCTAAGTGAAATAAGCCAGTCACAAAAAGACAAATATTGCCTGATTCCACTCATAGGAAGTACCTAATCAGATTCATACCGACAGAAAATAGAATGGTGGTTGCCAAGGCTTAAGTGGAGGGGAGAACAGAGAGTTATTGTTTAATGGAGATAGAGTTTCAGTTTTGCAAGACGAAAAGAGTCCTGGATATCAGTTGCACAACACTGGGAACGTGTTTAACATTTATTGAACAATCCACTTAAAAACGGCTAAGATGAGGGTCAGGCACTGTGGCACATGCCTGTAATCCCAACACTTTGGAAGGCCAAGGTTGGAAGATCATTTGAGCCCAAGAATTCAAGACCAGCGTGGGCAACATAGGGAGAGCCCCCACCCCCCAACCCTACAAAAATTACAAAAATTAGCTGGGTGTGGTTCCTTGTGCCTGTAGTCCCACCTATTTGGGAGGCTGAGGCGGGAGGATCTCTTGAACCTAGGAATTCAAGGCTGCAGTGCCCCTGCACTCCAGACTGCACTCCGTATTGCACCCCCGCACTCCAGATTGCACCCCCGCACTCCAGACAGGGCAGAAGAATGAGACACTGTCTTAAAAAAAAGAAAAAAAAAAGGCTAAGATAGTAAATTTTATGTTATGTGTATTTTTATCACAATTAAAAATTAATTGTTTTTGAAAATTTAAAAATAGGCCGGGCACAGAGACTCATGCCTGTAATTCCAGCACTTTTTTTTTTTTTTTTTTTTTTCTTGAGACAAGAGTCTTGCTCTGTTGACCAGGCTAGAGTGCAGTGGCGCGATCTCGGCTCACCGCAAGCACCGCCTCTCGGGTTCACGCCATTCTCCTGCCTCAGCCTCCCAAGTAGCTGGGACTACAGGCACCCGCCACCATGCCCAGCTAATTTTTTTGTATTTTTAGTAGAGACAGGGTTTCACCGTATTAGCCAGCATGGTCTCCATCTCCTGACCTTGTGATCCGCTCGCCTCGGCCTCCCAAAGTGCTGGGATTACAGGCGTGAGCCACCATGCCTGGCCTATTCCAGCACTTTTGGAGGCTGAGGCGAGAGAATCACCTGAACCCAGGAGTTCAAGACCAGCCTGGGCAACATGATGAAACCCCATCTCTACAAAACATACAAAAATAAGCTGAGTGTGGTGTCGTAAGCCTGTGGTCCCAGCTACTCACAGCTACTCAGGAGGCTGAAGTAGAAGGATTTATTGAGCCAGGAAGGTCGAGGCTATAGTGAGCTGTGATTATGCCACTGCACTCCAGCCTGGGTGACAGAACGAATCTCTGTCCCAAAAATAAATAAATGAGTAAATAAGAAAAGTTTAAAATAAGAATAGGCTGGGTGGCTCACGCCCGTAATCCCAGCACTTTAGGAGGCTAAGGAGGGCGGATGACTGAGGTCAGGAGTTCGAGACCACTTTGGGCAACATGGTGAAACCCCGTCTCTAGTAAAACTACAAAATTTAACTAGGTGTGGTGGCACATGCCTGTAATCCCACCTACTCAGGAAGCTGAGGCAGGAGAGTCACTTGAACCCGGGAGGCGGAGGGTGCAGTGAGCCGAGATCGTGCACTCCAGCCTGGGTGACAGAGCGAGACTTTGTCTCAAAAAAATAAATAAATAAAAATAAAAATAATTTAAATGTCTATCAATAGATAAATAAATTATGGTAATCCATACCACAGAATAATTTATTGTAGTTACAAATGAATCTATAAGATTTCTATGTATTAACCTGCAGAGAATCTTTAAGGCACAGTAAGGGAAAGACATTTATTACAAGAGAAAAAATTTTGGATATATATATGCCGATATATACATATATGTAGAATTCACACCAAACCTTTGAGAAAGGTTATTCTCTGGAACGGAAAGAGGGATTTGAAGGTAGATGAAGAGGAATTTTTATATTTTGCTATATATTTTTTTCTGTTGTTTGCATTTGCATTTTTACAATAAGAATGTGTGTATATAATAGTTGTCAAAAGATATCATTTATTTATTTATTTGAGACAGGGTCTCACTCCGTTACCTAGGCTGGTGTGTGATGGCATGATCACAGCGCACTGCAGCTTTGACCTCCCAGGCTCAAGTGATCCTCCCACCTCAGCTTCCCGGGTAGCTGGGACTACAGGCATGTGCCACCACACCTGGCTAATTTTTTTGTATTTTTTGTAGGGATGAGGTCTCACCATGTTGCCCAGGCTGGTCTTGAACTAGGCTCAAGCGATCCACCCACCCCGGCCACTCAAAAGTTTTGGGATTACAGGTGTGAGCCGCTGCTCCCAACAAAATATATTTTTATAAATAAATCAAGATGAAAACATTTTAGACAATAAAGATGATTTTTTTTAAACTGAAGAAATCAATTGAATGGCTTTAGGAAAGGAGATTAGATTTTTGTTTAAGCAATAACTTTTCTTTTCTTTCCTTTTCTTTTCTTCTTCTTTTTTTTTTTTTTTTTTTTTTGAGACAGAGTCTCGCTTTGTTGCCCAGGCTGGAGTGCAATGGTGCAATCTCAGCTCACTGCAGCCTTCACCTCACCCACCTCCTAACACTGTCACTTTGGGAATCACATTTATACAAGAGTTTTGGTGAGGACAAATTATATTGAAATCATGGAATTAGTCATAATGAATTGCTGTTGGTATTCCAATGTCTTCAGACCTCCTGACTGAAGAGGAAGACAGAACTGTAGTCCCAGTCAAGAAAGTCTGTGGTCTGGAAACAACCAAAGTTCCAGTGACTTACTGTTTCATGTTCTCTTACTTCATCATATCCTGTTTCCATTTTTTAAGATCAACTGGGTTTGGACTTCTGAAGAACACAGCATGGAGGGTAAATGACTGGGGCTCCAGGAGGCCACATTCTGGGCAGGGAGGATTAATGTCTATAGTTCATGCTTATTGTATCTGCCCTAGCTTTACTCTTCCTCCCAGTGGCCTGGGCTGGAGTAGTTATAGTAGTATAGCATAATGGCTCTGCAATATGCCTTCTGGAACTGTCCTACCTTTGCCAAATGGTAACGATGTAGTTAAGTTTCTTCAGCAGGCACCGAAAAAAAAATCCAAATATCTCTGCTCTCATGGAGCTTACATTTTAACAGAGGGATATAAACAATCTACAACAGATTTAATAAATTAGGCAGTATGACAGAAGATGATTGTCATGGAAAAAGTAGAGTAAGAGAGATCTGATGTATTGGGAGGGTGAGGGCAGCTGCAGAATTACCAGATGGTCAGGGTAGTATTATTGAGAAGGTGACATGTGAACAAAGACTTGAAGGATGTGAGGGAGTGAGCGGTGTGGACATATGAGTGAAGAATGTTCCTGAGGCAGAAGAATGACTGACATTTTTTATGGAACAGTAAAGAAGTTAATGTGGTTGGGTGAAGTGATTGAGAGAGAGAACAGTAGGAGGTGAAGTCGGAGAAGTAAAGGGGGCACAGGTGAAGTAGTGATTTTGTTGGCCATTGTTAGGACTTTGGCTTTTATTCTGAGTATGGGGAGTCCCTGGAAGGTTTTGAGTAGAGGAGAAATGATCATGATCTGACTTAGCTTTTTTTTTTTGAGACAGAGTCTTGCTCTGCTGCCCAGGCTGTAATGCAGTGGCACAATCTTGGCTCACAGCAACCTCCGCTTCCTGGGTTCAAGCGATTCTCTTGCCTCAGCCTCCTGAGCAGTTGGGATTACAGGTGCACACCACCACGCCCAGCTAGTTTTTGTATTTTTAGTAGAGACAGGGTTCAACCAGGTTAGCCAGGCTGGTCTCGAACTCCTGACCTCAAGTGATCCGTGCCTGGCCCTGATTTAGCTTTTTTTAAAAAAAATTATTATTATACTTTAAGTTTTAGGGTACATGTGCACAATGTGCAGGTTAGTTACATATGTATACATGTGCCATGCTGGTGTGCTACACCCATTAACTCGTCATTTAGCATTAGGTATATCTCCTAAAGGTATCCCTCCCCCCTCCCCCCACCCCACAACAGTCCCCAGAGTGTGATGTTCCTCTTCCTGTGTTCATGTGTTCTCATAGTTCAGTTCCTACCTATGAATGAGAATATGCGGTGTTTGGTTTTTTGTTCTTGCGATAGTTTACTGAGAATGATGATTTCCAATTTCATCCATGTCCCTGTAAAGGACATGAGCTCATCATTTTTTATGGCTGCATAGTATTCCATGGTGTATGTGTGCCACATTTTCTTAATCCAGTCTAACATTGTTGGACATTTATGTTGGTTCCAAGTCTTTGCTATTGTGAATAGTGCCACAATAAACATACGTGTGCATGTGTCTTTATAGCAGCATGATTTATAGTCCTTTGGGTATATACCCAGTAATGGGATGGCTGGGTCAAATGGTATTTCTAGTTCTAGATTCTTGAGGAATCGCCACACTGACTTCCACAATGGTTGAAGTAGTTTACAGTCCCACCAACAGTGTAAAAGTGTTCCTATTTCTCCACATCCTCTCCAGCACCTGTTGTTTCCTGACTTTTTAATGATTGCCATTCTAACTGGTGTGAGATGGTATCTCATTGTGGTTTTGATTTGCATTTCTCTGATAGCCAGTGATGGTGAGCATTTTTTCATGTGTTTTTTGGCTGCATAAATGTCTTCTTTTGAGAAGTGTCTGTTCATATCCTTTGCCCACTTTTCGATGGGGTTGTTTTTTTTTTTCTTGTAAATTTGTTTGAGTTCATTGTAGATTCTGGATATTAGCCCTTTATCAGATGAATAGGTTGTGAAAATTTTCTCCCATTTTGTAGGTTTCCTGTTCACTCTGATGGTAGTTTCTTTTGCTGTGCAGAAGCTCTTTAGTTTAATTAGATCCCATTTGTCAATTTTGGCTTTTGTTGCCATTGCTTTTGGTGTTTTAGACATGAAGTCCTTGCCCATGCCTATGTCCTGAATGGTAATGCCTAGGTTTTCTTCTAGGGTTTTTATGGTTTTAGGTCTAACATTTAAGTCTTTAATCCATCTTGAATTAATTTTTGTATAAGGTATAAGGAAGGGATCCAGTTTCAGCTTTCTGCATATGGCTAGCCAGTTTTCCCAGCACCACTTATTAAATAGGGAATCCTTTCCCCATTGCTTGTTTTTCTCAGGTTTGTCAAAGATCAGATGGTTGTAGATATGTGGCATTATTTCTGAGGGCTCTATTCTGTTGCATTGATCTATATCTCTGTTTTGGTACCAGTACCATGCTGTTTTGGTTACTGTAGCTTTGTAGTATAGTTTGAAGTCAGGTAGTGTGATGCCTCCAGCTTTGTTCTTTTGGCTTAGGATTGACTTGGCGATGTGGGCTCGTTTTTGGTGCCATATGAACTTTAAAGTAGTTTTTTCCAATTCTGTGAAGAAAGTCATTGGTAGCTTGATGGGGATGGCATTGAATCTATAAATTACCTTGGGCAGTATGGCCATTTTCACGATGTTGATTCTTCCTACCCATGAGCATGGAATGTTCTTCCATTTGTTTGTATCCTCTTTTATTTCATTGAGCAGTGGTTTGTAGTTCTCCTTGAAGAGGTCCTTCACATCCCTTGTAAGTTGGATTCCTAAGTATTTTATTCTCTTGCAAGCAATTGTGAATGGGAGTTCACTCATGATTTGGCTCTCTGTTTGTCTGTTATTGGTGTGTAAGAATGCTTGTGATTTTTGTACATTGATTTTGTATCCTGAGACTTTGCTGAAGTTGCTTATCAGCTTAAGGAGATTTTGGGCTGAGACGATGGGGTTTTCTAGATATACAATCATGTCATCTGCAAACAGGGACAATTTGACTTCCTCTTTTCTTAATCGAATGCCCTTTATTTCCTTCTCCTGCCTGATTGCCCTGGCCAGAACTTCCAACACTATGTTGAATAGGAGTGGTGAGAGAGGGCATCCCTGTCTTGTGCCAGTTTTCAAAGGGAATGCTTCCAGTTTTTGCCCATTCAGTATGATATTGGCTGTGGGTTTGTCATAGATAGCTCTTATTATTTTGAGATACGTCCCATCAATACCTAATTTATTGAGAGTTTTTAGCATGAAGGGTTGTTGAATTTTGTCAAAGGCCTGATTTAGCTTTTAAAAGGACCCCTCTGGCCAGGCATGGTGGCTCATGCCTGTAATCCTAGCACTTCGGGAGGCCGAGGTGGGTGTATTACTTGAGGTCAAGAGTTTGAGACCAGCCTGGCCAACATACTGAAACTAAGTATCTACTAAAAATACAAAAATCAGCCAGGTGTGGTGGCACAGTCCTGTAATCCCAGCTACTCAGGAAGCTGAGGCGGGAGAATTGCTTGAACCTGGGAGGCGGAGGTCGCAGTGAGCCGAGATTGTGACACTGCTTTCCAGCCTGGGCAACAGAGCGAGACTCTGTCCAACTAAAATAAAATAAAATAAAATATAAAATAAAATAATCACCCCTCTGGATGTTTTCCATGTGTTGAGGATAAAATGAAGGAAGGGAAAGAATGGAAGCAGGGAGATTAGTTGGGCGGCTACTGTAGTCATCTGAGCAACACAAGATGGTTTGGACAAGGGTGCTAGCAATGAAGATGGTGAAAACTGTTCAAAATTTGTACACATTTTGAAGTAGAATTGGAGAAATGTCCTGATGGTCTCCATTGTACAACTCTAAGGGTTTCTGGCCTGAGCAATTGATTATTTTCTATTTTTTGTTTTTGGCTGGCCTGAGCAATTGAAAGGATGGAGTTGGCATTAACTAAGAAGAACAAGACTGTGGGCAGAGGAGGTTTTGGAAGGAATATCAGAAGTTCCGTTTTGGACATGTTAAGCTTGAGACGCCTGTTCAAGAAGAGATGTCAACTAGGTAGTTGGCTATATGATTCTATGGTTTTATAATAGGTCCTAACTAAGAACATAAATTTCATGAAAAAGGCCAGGAGCCGTGGCTCACGCTTGTAATCCCAGCAGTTTGGAAGGCCGAGGCGGGCAGATCACTTGAGGTCAGGAGTTTGAGACCAGGCTGGCCAAGATGGTGAAACCCATCTCTACTAAAAATACAAAAAATTAGCCAGACGTGGTGGTGCATGCTTGTAGTCCCAGCTACTCGGGAGGCTGAGCTGGGAGAATTGCTTGAATGCAGGAGGCGGAGGTTGCAGTGAGCTGAGATCATGCCATTGCACTCCAGCCTGGGCGACAGAGCAAGATTTCATCTCAAAAAATAAATAAATACATAAAATAAATTTCATGAAAAAGCACTTCGGCCGGGCGCGGTGGCTCAAGCCTGTAATCCCAGCACTTTGGGAGGCCGAGGTGGGCGGATCACAAGGTCAGGAGATCGAGACCATCCTGGCTAACACGGTGAAACCCTGTCTCTACTAAAAATACAAAAAATTAGCCGGGCCTGGTGGCGGGCACCTGTAGTCCCAGCTACTCGGGAGGCCGAGGCAGGAGAATGGCATTAACCCGGGAGGCGGAGCTTGCAGTGAGCCGAGACTGCGCCACTGCACCGTAGCCTGGGCGACAGTGCAAGACTCCGTCTCAAAAAAAAAAAAAAAAAAAAAAAAAAAGAAAAAAAGAAAAAGCACTTCATTCAATACATGGAAAATGGTAAATGCTCAATAATGTGAACTGCAGTGATGATGATGGTGATTTTGATGATGATGATGAAGATGATGATAATTATGGTGATGATGATGATGATTTTTTTTTTTTTTGAGACGGAGTCTCACTCTCTCACCCAGGCTGGAGTGCAGTGGCGTGATCTCTGCTCACTGCAACCTCCACCTCCCGGGTTCAAGCAATTCTCCTGCCTCAGCCTCCCGAGTAGCTGGGATTACAGGCGCCTGCCACCACGCTTGGCTAATTTTTGTATTTTTAGTAGAGACGGAGTTTCACCATGTTGGCCAGGCTGGTCTCGAACTCCTGACCTCAAGTGATCCGCCTGCCTCAGCCTTCCAAAGTGCTGGGATTACAGGTGTGAGCCATCGTGCCCGGAAATGATGATGATTTATATAACACACCTCTAAAGGCACTCTGACTCACAATTTAACCTGTTCTAGAAATGAATAAATCTTCCCATCCATTTAACTCAGCTGAAACAAAGTTGGATTTTCCACTACTCTACCTACATTTTTACTTACAGCAAAAACCGTTATACTAGAACATTAAAGTGAATTTTAGAAATAAATAAAAGCCTCGTAAGCGTACCACTTAACCATATTCTTTATTTTTCCATATATTCCCCTTTCGTCTCCTCATTTTGAAAACACAATTTAAAATAGTTGAATCATGAAGTATATATACATGTGTGTCCCGGTTACTTCAAGTGACATTATCCCGTAAGCTATTTTCCAAGTTACTACATAGTTTCCATAATTTTAATTTTTACTAATTGCAAAATAATCTGTATTTACTTGTCCCTTTTGCTATTGTTGCTCATTTAGACTGTTTTGTAACCTATCACTGTTACAGCTAAGGCTGCAATCTCATGCATTTAACAAGTTTTTTCCTCCAAAGATATACTGCCAAGAGCAGGATTACTGGGTCAAAGGGCATAAATATTTTTGTAATTCTCAATACATAATGCCAACTTGTGGAAAAGTTTGCACCAATTTACAATGCCAAGGGTTGGATCTTTTCATAAGAAAAAAGAAAATAATGAGTAAAATCAAATACATCAAACTGGAGTCACTGACAAAATAGATTTCCTAAGTCTGTTTTAATGAAACTGTACCCATAGATGTTCTTAGCTAGGCTACACAGCCTCAGCTCATTTTCATAGCCTACTTAGTCCTTAAGTTTCTTTTTTTTTGACACAGTCTCGCTCTGTCACCCAGGCTGGAGTGCAGTGGCACCATCTAGACTCACTGCAACTTCCGCCTCCGGGTTCAAGCAATTCTTCTGCCTCAGCCTCCTGAGTAGCTGGGACTACAGGCAAGCACCACCACACCCGGCTAATTTTTGTATTTTTAGTAGAGACAGAGTTTCACCATATTGGCCAGGACGGTCTCAAACTCCTGACCTCGTGATCCACCCGCCTCAGCCTCCCAAAGTGCTGGGATTACAGGCGTGAGCCACCGTGTCCAGCCGTGGTCCTTAAGTTTCACTTAAGTTTTAGCTTCAGTTCAGACTTGCTTGCTGCTAGGTATGGTGAATGCTCTTAAACAATTTTTTTGTTACTTGTACTGAAAATTGATTTGAAAAACCATTTTTTAAAAACCCATGTTTTCCTTTTTACATCATTACTCTCTGACTCAAATGTTTTAGTTTTATGTCTGATTTCAGCCCTTTTATTGCACCACGGGTAATCAATGAGGGGTAATCAATAATTTAATCTGACCCTGCCTCCACTGCCCTGGCCTAGGTTAGCTATTCAAAGATATTTAAGAAGGCTGGCTGAGGTGGCTCATGGCTATAATCCCAGCAATTTAGGAGGCTGAGGTGGGAGGATCATTTGAGCCCAGGAATTAAAGACCAGTCTGGGCAACATAGTGAGACTCTCTGTCTCTACAAAAATAGAAAAATTAGCTAGGTGTGGTGGCATGCACCTGTAGTCCCAGCTACTTTAGATGCTGAAGCAGGAGGAGTTTGAGGCTACAGTTAACCATGATCACACCACTGCACTCCAGCCTGGGCAACAGAGTGAGACCCTGTCTCTAAAACAAACATAAGGAAAGAAAATAAATAAAGGAGAGGAAAAATATAGGAAGAAGAAAACTAGAATAAATCTTGTGGGTAATTTTGAGGAGGAGGGAATTAGGAGCTGGAGTAGGAGTTAGGAGTAACCTTAAGAGATTATAAACTTCTGTACCAGCTGGGCACAGTGGCTCACGCCTGTAATCCCAGCACTTTGGGAGGCCGAAGCAGGTGGATCACCTGAGGTCAGGAGTTAGAGACCAGCCTGGCCAACATGGTGAAACTCCGTCTCTACTAAAAATACAAAAATTAGCTGGTCGTGGTGGTGGGCACCTGTAATCCCAGCTACTCAGGAGGCTGAGGCAGGAGAATCACTTGAACCCAGGAGGCGGAGGTTACAGTGAGTTGAAATCATGCCATTGTACTCTAGCCTGGGTGACAAGAGTAAGACTCCATCTTAAAAAGAAAAACAAAAAACTTTTATACCGTTTGAAACTTTTGGGGAAAAATAAAGTCAAACTGTATCTCTAAAAAGAAAGGACCTAACTTGAAATAACTAAACTTTAAAGAGCTGCTAATCATAAACAATACTTATGACACCCTGAGACAACCAGATTCTTGGTTTTAAAAGAAAAAAAAATTAGAGATGGGGGTCTCGCTATGTTGCCTAAGCTGGTCTCGAATTCCTGTGCTCAAGTGATCCTCCCGCCTCGGCCTCTCAAACTGCTGGAATCACAGGCATGAGCCACTGTGCGTGGCCTTAAAAGACTTTAAAGGGTCATCTTATATATTAACTCCTAATGTACACCTATCTATTGCAATATTACTTCTGTCATTTAAAAGAGTCAACCTGCCATTTTACAGCTAAGCTTAGCTACCAATTTGTTTTTTCTTTTATTTGTTTACTTTCTGTAATCTTTCCTTCACAGGTGTTTGGAATTTTAAGGTCATGATTCAATAGAACTGACTTTTTTGTATTGTGTTCATATAATCAGAGGCATAAAGCAATGGGTAAATATTTAACAAAGAAACAGAAATGCATAAGTATGGTACAGGGAAGGGTTTCTATTACAAATACTAAGATTAAATAAAAGCCTGAACTTTTCTCATTATTCTTGATGAGTCTGCAAGAGTTTAATAATTGTTTGGGAGAAAAGTCCCATGCTGAACTTTGCATTAATGTCACACTAGAATTTAAGTCGCCTTCGATTTACTGACTAGACATTATAAATGTAAAGAAAGGGGAAAAGGAAAAAAAGAGGAAGAAAGAATTTTAAAACCATACAATGTTTTCTATCAAACACAAGGTTGTGCAATTAACTTTCGTGTGTATGTTTTTTAAAAAATATTTTTGAGGACTTATAGATAGTATGCAGGGGCCGGGTGCGGTGGCTTACGCCTGTAATCCCAGCACTTTGGGAGGCCAAAGTGGGTGGATCACGAGGTCAGGAAACCAAGACCATCCTGGCCAACATGGTGAAACCCTGTCTTTACTAAAAATACAAAAATTAGCTGGGTGTGGTAGCGTGCACCTGTAGTCCCAGCTCTCGGGGGGCTGAGACAAGAGAATCGCTTGAACCCAGGAGGCAGTCACAGTGAGCCAAGATCGCACCACTGCACTTCAGCCTGGGTGACAGATCGAGACTCCATCTCAAAAAAAAAAAAAAAAAAAGAAAAGATAGTATGTAGGCAAGGCCATTTAAGGTTCTTGAATAATATATTTAGTGGGATTTGTTATCTGATGTGTTTTAAAGCACATGCTTTTGTAAATATTTAAATTTTAGGTGACCCTTCATACTAGTTAGAATCATAGCACTCTGAGCCATCACAGGACCTGATTTCTGGCCCCCCTTTTTTTCACTGGCCTATAGGGACCATCACATAAGGATACATAAGAGCCAACATTAATAAATACAGTAACAAAATATACATTTAGGGAAAACATGCAAAACATGGTAGGCACCTGATGGAAGGAGGAACTTGAATTTGTAGAATGATTAAGCTTCTGCATTTTAAAATTTTAATTTTGTTGTATTTTTATTTTTTATTTACTTTTTTAGAGACAGGGTCTTGCCCAGACTGGAGTACAGTGGCACAGTCATAGTCCACTGCAGCCTTGAATTCCTGGGCTCAAGCCATCCTCCTGCCTCAGTCTCCTAAGTAGCTAGAACTATAGGAATGTGCCATCACGCTTGGCTAATTTTAAAAATTTTTTGTAGAGATGGGGTCTGGCTTTGTAGAGATGGGGTCAGACTGGTTTCCAACTCCTGGCCTCTAGCAATCTTCCCACCTTGGCATCCCAAAGTATTGGGATTATAGGTGTGAGCCACCTTGCCTGACCCTGGCCTGCATTTTTTTTTTTTTTTTTTTGAGATGGAGTCTCGCTCTGTTGCCCAGGCTGGAGTGCAGTTATGCGATCTTGGCTCACTGCAACCTCCGCCTCCCGGGTTCAAACGATTATCTTGCCTCAGCCTCCCTAGTAGCTGGGACTACAGGCGCGTGCCACCACGCCCGGCTGATTTTTTGTATTTTTGGTAAAGATGGGGTTTCACCGTGTTAGCCAGAATGGTCTCGATCTCCTGACCTCATGATCTGCCCGCCTCAGCCTCCCAAAGTCCTGGGATTACAGGCGTGAGCCACTGCACCAGGCCTGGCCTGCATTTTTTTAAAAAACATACAAAATAAGATTTTAGGCTCTTTTGCAATGCCCAAAGCACCCAGTACAGTGATTGGCTCACAAAAGATTCAGTAAGTACTTGTTGACTTTTAAAAAACTTACTCTGATATGTGTCCTTAGAGACATATTTCCTAGTCCTGATTCCCTGAGGCTCCTATAAAAATAGACCATGATCAAAATGTGTTGCAGAAACAAACTTCTGAAAATATGAAATAATAGGTCATGCTTTTTTAGCCTTTCTACCAATAACCATAGTATAACTACATACATAGAATTGCAATTTCACCTTCTACTCACTTATTTGCACTAATATTCTAGAAACAATCAGTTTAGGCATTTAATTTTACAGTGTTTGAAAATAAGTTCTTTTTCTCTCACTTACAATTGCTTTCTTACAAAAAAAACTATACAGTTCAGGATTTGACTTTTAGCCTGCACTAATAGTAATAAATACAAGCTTTCAAAAGACTTATTTAGGCCTAGTTTTGTGTATTCTCTCCAATAAAATTCTATAAAATAATTGTACACTGATTTACACAACATTTTATTTGCATCTGTATCCATTATTAAAAGATGTGATTCTTTAAACGTTTCTAGTTTGAGTAACCTAATTTTTATTCAGAATAGAGCAAAGCATCATTTTTTTTTTCAGCCCCCCAGTGTTAATATTTCTATAGCATCGTGGTTAAGAAATTAGACTGACTTCACACTGCTTTGTTTCAAGCTCTGACTTCACTACTGGCTCTCATTGTGTGGTTAATTCAACTCCCTGTTCTTCAGTTCCCTTCTAAAAAGGGATAGATCATTAAATCCATCCTTATGAAGTAGGTGTGATGATTTTTCTTTCTCTTTTTCTTTTTCTTTTTTTTTTTTTTTTTTTTTTTGAGACAGAGTTTTGCTCTTGTTGTCCAGGCTGGAGTGCAATGGCCTGATCTCAGCTCACTGCAACCTCCACCTCCAGGGTTCAAGTGATTCTCCTGTCTCAGCCTCCCGAGTAGGTGGGATTACAGGCGCCCACCGCTATGCCCGGCTAATTTTTTGTATTTTTAGTAGAGACAGGGTTTCACCAGGTTGGCCAGGCTGGTCTCAAACTCCTGACCTCAGGTGATCTGCCTACCTTGGCCTCCCAAAGTGCTGGGATTACAGGCGTGAGCCACCGGGCCAGGCCAATGATCATTTTACATAATTCTTAGCACAGTATCCCTGACATAAAGTAAATCCAATTAAAATATGCCTAATGGGCTGGGCGTGGTGGCTGACACCTATAATCCCAGCACTTTGGGAGGCCGAGGCGGGTGGATCACCTGAGGTCAGGAGTTCGAGACCAGCCTGGTCAACCCAGTGAAACCCCATCTGTACTGAAAATACAAAAATTAGCTGGGCATGGTGGCCGGCACCTGTAATCCCAGCTACTTGGGAGGCTGAGGCAGGAGAATTACTTGAAACCAGGAGGCAGAGGTTGCAGTGATCCAAGATTGCTCCATTGCACTCCAGCCTAGGCAACAGAGCAGGACTCCATTTCAGGAAAAAAAAAAAAAAAAGTGCCTAACATTGTCTTAAACTTTAGCTAAGGTACAAGGAGAAGTGGTTTCAGTTTCCAAAAAGTAGGGAAAAAACTTTGAATTGAAGTCCTTGGAGGGGATTTTTTTGGAAGGGTAGAACCTGCACTGGGCTTTGAAGAATGAGTCATGATAATAATTTAGGACATTTTGTAAGAGAAGCAACTTTGATCATATGTTACATTTTGTATTTGAAGATTTCTTGGGAGTCATTCATACACAATTATTTTGGTTATTTTGTTTATATGAAATATTTCTATTTAAAATTCTTAATTTCTTTATAAATAATAATGCTTATAATCTAGAGAAAATCCAATAAATGGAAAGTACTTAATTAAAGTTCTTTCAGATCTGAAGAACAAACTAATTTACTAGCTATTAATGACTCCTCAGCGTGGATATGCCTTTCTTCATTAATCTTTTTAAAAAACTTGTATTTAGGCCAGGCGCGGTGGCTTAACGCTTGTAATCCCAGCACTTTGGGAGGCCGAGGTGGGCGGATCACGAGGTCAGGAGATCGAGACCATCCTGGCTAACACAGTGAAACCCTGTCTCTACTAAAAATACAAAAAAATTAGCCGGGCATGGTGGTGGGCGCCTGTAGTCCCAGCTACTTGGGAGGCTGAGGTGGGAGAATAGCGTGAACCCAGGAGGAGGAGCTTGCAGTGAGCTGACATCGCACCACTGCACTCCAGCCTGGGTGACAGAGCGAGACTCCATTTCAAAAACAAAAACAAAAACAAAAACAAAACAAAACAAAACAAAAAACTTGTATTTAGCAGAACAAGATAAATTTTAAAAACTTGTGTCTGTTACACACCTGATGCAAGTGTAATTGATCTGTTAGTACCAGGTTTTGCATCAGAATTACAGGTGTGCAAAATCAATGACTATATTGAAGACAGTTCTGCTTAGTGTTCAGTAGGCAGTAGCATACGTCATAATACATTGTAATTTCAAATAGAGGCATAGCAACCCAAAGCTGAAAAAGACTTCTTACAATGATTTAGGCTGACTTCCACCTTTTTTGTGTTTAAATTAGGAAATTAAGTCAGGTTCTCCCAAGGGTTTATGTAACCCAGGGAGACACATTCATTCTTCCAGGCCCTCCTGGAGCACCATTTGATGTTGTTGCTTTCTTAGTCACCAAATTGCCTACAAAGTGGGAAAATAACATGCAATGCTTACTAGAGACATGTGTCTCAAATGTGATTCCTAGGATCACGCCTATACAAGTCGAGAAATTAAGAAAGCATATTACCAGAGCCTCTGTCCAAAAGCCTAGCTCTTAAAAATTTCACGTTGGGCTGAGCATGGTGACTCACGCCTGTAATCCCTGCACTTTGGGAGGCCAAGGCGGGTGGATTACCTGAGGTCAGGAGTTTGAAACCAGCCTGGCCAACATGATGAAACCCCATCTCTATTAAAAATACAAAAAATTAGGAGGCTGGGTGCCTTGGCTCACGCCTGTAATCCCAGCACTTTGGGAGGCCAAGGAGGGCGGATCACAAGGTGAGGAGATCGAGACCATCCTGGCTAACATGGTGAAACCCCGTCTCTACTAAAAATACAAAAAATTAGCTAGGCGTGGTGGTGGGAGCATGTAGTCCCAGCTACTTGGGAGGCTGAGGCAGGAGAATGGCGTGAACCCGGGAGGTGGAGCTTGCAGTGAGCCAAGATCGCGCCACTGCACGCCAGCCTGGGGACAGAGTGAGACTCCGTCTCAGAAAAAAAAAAATTAGCTGGGCATGGTAGCGGGCACCTATAATCCCAGCTACTTGGGAGGGCTGAGGCAGGAGAATCATTTGAACCCAGGGGGCAGAGGTTGCAGTGAGCCAAGATCTCACCACTGCACTCCAGCCTGGGCAACAAGGACAAAACTCTGTCTCAAAAACAAACAAACAAACAAACAAAAACAACCCACTGCACTTTGCCCTGTGTAAGTTCCCCAATGAATTCCCTGATGCTTCCAAAAACCATCCTTTACCCCTAAGCCTTTCTATCACTGTGACAGTACTCACTCTTCTGACTTGTCCGTTCTCTAAGCAATGTTTCATGCTTCATACTTTTCCACTTGGAAAAACTCATCTGTCCCTTCTCCCATTCCTTTAGGGTCTTGCTAGGCCTTGCTACGTCTTGCTAGGCCTTCCTAGTTCTTGCTTAATTTAATATGATAATCATAATAGGAAATCAACAATTGCTTCCCTTCAGTATTTTACTGAAAAGACCCATCTATGACTAGGAGTATTCAAAACATTGAAATCCAAGAATACTATGTTGTTCTTGGGAAATTCTCTTCCAAATCTCAATTCTGGTAAGTTATTTTACCCTCAGTGATTCATAGGAGTAGCAATCACTTTTTACAAAGCACTTATAATGAGATGGGAAAAAGAATAACCTAGGAAAATTTTAGATCTATTAAAATATGTTTATGGCTTAGAAACCTATTGTTAATTTGTACAACATGTTCTGATGGGAGAATGACTTCCTAAATTTGAACTTGAAGTTGACATAGGGAGAAGCAATCTGACACCTATGTTGCAACCAGCCTATTTTCAACAGTCAGAAAAACAAGTAAAACTTATCTCTGAGTTTTTGGTAGGGTAAGACTCAAAGGATGATGTCACTTTTCCTTTCTCATACTTTTAAAGGTCCATGAAGCCATTTTCTGGCAGATGTGTGCTTTAGTTATAATAAACACGGCAGGCAGATAGATCTCACAGGTATGCCTCAATGTCTGAAAGTTTTTAGTTTCTGATAAGAGCTGGAAATTTCTGTTTTAAGTGGTGGCTTTGGTAAGCAGTCCTGCTAAATGTTCGCCAAATCAGTTTAATTGCTGCTAATTTTCATATTCTGCTTTTGAGTTGAATCTTCAATATTTGACTGAATGTGGAATTTAAGACCAACAAATAAAAAAGACATTTTGTAAATTTCTTCAATATTTAAAAAAACAATAATAAACATTTTGAACTTACAGTAAGCACTTATTTCAACAAATTGTGCTATTGTCTCAAATAGGAAGAAGCTTTTTGCTAATTGGATGTCTTGGCTTTATCGCTGTTATGACAAAAAATGATGCTTTAGGCATCTTTGTCAAGAAAAGGACTACAGACTAATGCTAAGAGGAAATGAACTATTTGGGAAGTTATCTTTTCAATTGCAAATGCTTACAAGTAGCATCCTTTTAATAAATTATGTGATGAAAAGGGAACAAATGTATCACTTTGGCAGTATAAATTGCATTATTTGCAAGGGCTAGACAAGAAAATAAAAAATGGAGGAGTAGGGCTGGGTGCGGTAGCTCATACCTGTAATCTCAGCACTTTGGGAGGCTGAGGTGGGTGGATCACTTGAGGTCAGGAGTTCGAGACCAGCCTGACCAACATGGTGAAACCCTGTCTCTACTAAACCTACAAAATTAGCTGGGTGTGGTGGCACATGCCTGTAATCCCAGCTAGTTGGGAGGCCGAGGCAGGAGAATCGCTTGAACCCGGGAGGCGGAGGTTGCGCTGAGCTGAGATTGCGCCATTGCACTCCAGCCTGGGCAACAAGAGAGAACTCCGTCTCAAAAAAAAAAAAAAAAAAAAAAAAAAAAAAAAAAAAAGCTGGGCACGGTGGCTCATGCCTGTAATCCCACCACTTTGGGAGGCAGAGGTGGGCGGATCACGAGGTCAGGAGATCGAGACCATCCTGGCTAACATGGTGAAACCCCGTCTCTTCTAAAAATACAAAAACAAAATTAGCCGGGCGTGGTGGGGGGCGCCTGTAGTCCCAGCTACTCGGGAGGCTGAGGCGGGAGAATGGCGTGAACCTGGGAGGTGGAGCTTGCAGTGAGCCGAGATCGTGCCACTACACTCCAGCCTGGGCGACAGAGGGAGACTCCGTCTCAAAAAAAATAAATAAATAAAATAATAATAATAATAATTTGTAATGCAGAGCAAAGTATGCCATCTCATGGTATCTTATGGATAGATCTCATGCTTATGGTAAGTTTTGGGTGTTTCTCATCTGACGTCTATAAGATCATTGTTAGATGTTATTAGTGATGCAATTTTGAAACAGACTTCTTATTACAGATCTGTATTTTTAAATGAGTTTAATTAAAGAGCAACTTGAAGTTCCAAGGCACGCTGTTAAAAAAACAACAACAGCATAAAACACCAACATCTATTACTTCTTGTGACTCCATATTTGCATGATGAGTATTGTGATACTATACAACCAAAACAAAGTATAAAAGTCAATTGGGCTGGGCACGGTGTCTCATGCCGGTAATCCCAGCACTTTGGGAGACCGAGGCAGGAAGATTGCTTGAGTTCAGGAATTCCAGAGCAGCCTGGGCAACATATACTGGCGAAATCCTCGTCTCAACAAAAACAAATTGTCTGGGCATGGTGGCGGGTGCCTATAGTCCCAGCTACTCGGGGGAGGCTAAGGTGGGAGGATCCCTTGAGCCCGGGAAGCAGAGGTTGCAGTGAGCTGAGATCGCGCCACTGCACTGCAGCCTGGGCGACAGAGTGAGACCCTGTCTCAAAAAACAAAACAAAACAAAACAAAACAAACAAACAACAACAACAAAATTTGAAGCAGACGCAGATGTAAGACAAATGATTACACATAATTCCCGATTTCTATTTTATACATTCATCAAAATGACTTTAGACTTCATTGTTCTCCGTGATTGACTTGATAAGAGTAAATACTATAAATGTAAATGAACTTATAAAATAAATGTATGTAGATGGACAGTGGAGACTCAGAGGGATGAAGGGGTGGGAAGGGGATGGATGATGGGAGGTTGCTTGGTGGGTACAACGTGTGTTGCTCCAGTGATAGACGTACTGAAGGCCCTGACTTTACCACAATGCAATATACCAATGTAGCAAAATTGCACTTGTGCCCCATGAATGTATACAAATTAAAAACTAGATAGCCAGCTGTGGTGGCTCATGCCTCTAATCCTGGAAGGCTGAGGCGGGAGGATCACTTCAGCCCAGAAGTTGGACCAGAAGTTGGAGACCAGCCTGGGCAATATAGTGAGACTTTGTTCTACAAAACATTTTTTTTTTTTTTGAGATAGAGTCTCGTTCTGTCGCCCAGGCTGGAGTGCAGTGGCGTGATCTCGGCTCACTGCAAGCTCTGTCTCCTGGGTTCACACCATTCTCCTGCCTCAGCCTCCTAAGTAGCTGGGACTACAGGTGCCCGGCCACCACGCCCGGCTAATTTTCTTGGGACTACAGGTGCCCGCCACCACGCCCGGCTAATTTTTTGTATTTTTAGTAGAGACGGGGTTTCACTGTGTTAGCCAGGATGGTCTCTCCTGACCTCGTGATCTGCCCGCCTCAGCCTCCCAAAGTGCTGGGATTACAGGTGTGAGCCACCGCGCCCAGCTTACAAAACATTTTAAAAAGGCCGGGTGTGGTGGCTCATGCCTGTAATCCCACCACTTTCGGAGGCCGAGGTGAATGGATCACTTGAGGTCAGGAGTTCAAGACCAGCCTGGCCAACATAGTAAAACCCCATCTCTACTGAAAATACAAAAAATTATCTGGGCATGGTGACACGTACCACCTGTAATCTCAGCTACTTGGGAGGCAGAGGCAGGAGAATCACTTGAACCCGGGAGGTGGAGGTTGCACTGAGCAGAGATCACACCACTACACTCCTGAACAACCGAGTGAGACTCCATCTGAGAAAAATAAAATAAAAAATAAAAAATGAGGCAGGAGGATTGCTTGATCCCAGGAAGTCAAGGCTGCAATGAGCCATGATGGCACTACTATACTCTGGCTGGGTGACAGAGCAAGAACCTGCCTCAAAATAAATAAAAAAAAACATAAATAAATAAAATAATGCAGAAAAATATATTCTGCAAAAAACATTGACAAAATGGGTTTTAAAACTTTAAAATTTGGACAACCCCTCTTTTCACTACAGATGAGAGGATGCATTTCTTGGGGTGGGATAGACTAGGAGTTTTTTGGTTTCTTTGTTTTTGAGACTAAGCCTCGCTCTGTCACCCAGGCTGGAGTGCAGTGGTGCAATCTTGGCTCACTGCAACCTCCGCCTCCTGGATTCAAGCGATTCTCCTGTCTCAGCCTCCTGAGTAGCTGGGACTACAGGTGTGCGCCACTGCACTTGGCTAATTTTTGTATTTTTAGTGGAGATGGGGCTTTGCCATGTTAGCCAGGCTGGCCTCGAGCTCCTGACCTCAGGTGATCCACCTGCCTCGGCCTCCCAAAGTGGTGGGATTACAGGTGTGAGCCACTGTGCCTGGCTAGACTAGAAGTTTTTTGAGGAAATACAAAGCACTAAATATATATATTTTTAAAAAAAGGCTCTGCAAAGGGCTCTACAAAGGTGAAATGGAGACCAGTTTCTTGAAGACCTGCCTGGTTGATCTTTAAGCCTTCGGCTGCTGCCACAGCCCATCTTTGTAACTCAATAGGATTGGGTAGGAATAGTAGCTGACAGTCTCTTCCACAATCCTCAAATCAGTGCCACCAATCCTTTGGGAAATTAAAGTCACATCCTCCTAGTGATATCTTCAAAGGATGAAAAAGAATATACAGCACAGTGAAAAGTAAATATCCCTTCTTCCGCTGGCGCCTTCTTACCCAGTTCATTTCCTGGAGAGAGCACCGTTACTGGTTACTTAAATATTCTTTCAGAGATATTATATTTTCAGATTATGTTTACAATTATCCATAAATCCTTACCTTCCACACTAATGACAGCATATTATGCACATAATTTAGATCTTCCTTTCTTCAGTATATAGCTTGGTAATTGTTCCATATTACTGCAAAGAAAGCTGCTTCATTTTTATTTTATGGCTGTACAGTATTCCATTGTATGGATATGCCATAATTTATTTCCAGGTTATTTATAATCTTTTGCTGTTATAAACAATGGTACAAAGAATTATATATACATTATTTAACAAATGTATGAGCATGTCTGCAGTATAAATATTAATACTTTTGTCCATTTTTGAATCAAGGCAGTCTCTTAATGACTTGTAGGAGGCACATATTTATATAAAGGAAATTGGCCTTTTATGTATGAGCCCCTAATCTTTATTTTTATTTATTTATTTATTTATTTATTTATTTATTTATTTATTTATTTTGAGACAGAGTCTTGCTCTGTTGTCCAGGCTGGAGTGCACAATCTCAGTTCACTGCAACTTCCGCCTCCTGGGTTCAAGTGATTCTTCTGCCTCAGCCTCCTAAGTAGCTGGGATTACAGGCATGCATCACCACGCCCAGCTAATTTTTTGTATTTTTAATAGTGACAGGGTTTCACCATGTTGGCCAGGCTGGTCTCAAACTTCTGACTTCAAATGATCCGCCCGCCTCAGATTCCCAAAGTGCTAGAATTACAGGCATGAAGCACCGTGCCTGGCCTGAGTCCCTAACCTTTAAAAATTCATGTTAAAATTGAGTTAAAATCTGTCTATATGAAAATTTAAATTTCTTATTATGAATGTTCATAGTATAAGGGAAAGTGGGAATTGTGTAGCTCTAAGGTAAAGATTATCTGTTGAAGTTTATTTAATATGATATCTTCTTTTACAATAGGGTACATTATTATTTATAAGGATATAGTTTTTTCTTGGAGAAATGAAGAAAAAAGGGTATATTATGATTTTTATTGTGATGGTGCTATGAAATAAAATAATCCTTTTAATTTGTTCACTACATAGCGCTTCTACTTGATACTTTGTCATTTTCAGTGATTTGTCTTTTTCCTGAATGTGGGCCTTAACAGTGTGTTATTTAAGAACTAGAAAATATTAAAACAAAGTAATACATAAGCAAAGCTGGGCCTTTTGTAACATAATTCCCAGAGACAGATGCAAAGCTGTAATGGAACTCAGTATTCAGGAGCAAATAGAACTATTCTGTAACATTTGATAAGAAGTTAAACCCTATTGAGCTATAGATACTTTTGTTTACGTTACAGCAGTTGTGATCTGCAGTTTTTTTGTGTGTGTGTGTTTTTTTAAGACAAGGTCTTGCCGTGTCACTGGAATACAGTGGCAGATCATGGCTCACTGTAGCCTCGATGTCCTAGGCTCAAGCCATCCTCCTGCCTCAGCCTCCCAAGTACCTGGGATTATAGACATGAGCCACCATGCCCGGCCTGCAGAATATTTAAGCAAACTTTTGTTGTAGCAAACAAAATAATATCCAAAGAATTAGTTTATTTTTGACCTGTGATTCAGGATTTAAAAAAAAATTTAAGGCCCAAGTGCAGTGGCTCGCACTTATAATCCCAGCATTTTGGGAGGCCGAGGTGGGAGGACAGCTTGAGCCCAGTAGTTGGAGTAACATAGCAAGACCCTTGTATCTACAAAAAAAAATTTTTTTTTTAAATTAGCGGAGTGGGGCGTGACAGTGCATGCCGGTGGTCCTAGGTGCTTAGATGGCTGAGGTGGAAGAATTGCTTGAGCCTGGGAGGTCAAGGCTGCAGTGAGCTGTGATTGTGCCACTACACTGCAGTCTGAGTGACAGAGTGAGACACTCTCTTTTTTTTTTTTTTTTTTTTTGAGACGGAGTCTCGTTCTGTCGCCCAGGCGGGAGTGCTGTGGCGCGATCTCCGCTCACTGCAAGCTCCGCCTTCCGGGTTCACGCCATTCTCCTGCCTCAGCCTCCCGAGTAGCTGGGACTACAGGCGCCCGCCACTGCGCCCGGCTAATTTTTTGTATTTTTAGTAGAGACGGGGTTTCACCGTGGTCTCGATCTCCTGACCTCGTGATCCGCCCGCCTCGGCCTCCCAAAGTGCTGGGATTACAGGCGTGAGCCACCGCGCCCGGCCGAGACACTCTCTAAAAAAAAAAAAAAAAAGAAAAGAAAAAGAAAATTAGGCCGGGGTGGGGGGGTGTGGCTCACGCCTGTAATCCCAGCATTTTGGGAGGCCGAGGTGGGCTGATCACCTGAGGTCAGGAGTTCGACACTAGCCTGACCAAAGTGGAGAAATACTGTCTCTACTAAAAATACAAAATTAGCTGGGCATGGTGGCACATGCCTGTAATCCTAGCTGCTTGGGAGACTGAGGCAGGAGAATCGCTTGAACCCGGGAGGTGGAGGTTGCAGTGAGCCGAGATTGCGTAACTGCACTCCAGCCTGAGCAACAAGAGTGAAACTCCATCTCAAAAAAAAAAAAAAAAAAAAAAAAATTAAACTCTCCACTACACTCAGTGTTTACAAATTAATTTCCTTTACTTTTTAGAATATTTTTCTATTTTGACAAGAAAGGAATAGCAACAATGTCACATACAAAATGGCACCATCTTCCTATGATGCCAGTTTTGAACTCTTTAAAGAACATTAACCTTTAGAAAGAAAGATGTTTATCTACTTGCAAGGAACATAACCCCCAAGAGATTTTCCTGGACTGTGCCCTAATTTGTTGGATTTTTATCAAATTTCCTGCATATGCTCATGCACTCATACTTAATTAGTCATAATTCTTCTTTAGAAAAGACTTGTTTTAAAAAGAAGCACAACAACTGTGATATCTTTGGAACTTATAAATATCTGGTCTAGGATTTCCTTAAGCTAGTCATCTGTTTCCTCATTTCAAAAGCTGAAACTGTGTTAGGCTGTGTTTTTAAAATGTTGGATTTGTTTTGCAAATGCAGGAAAAGCAACACTTCCTAATTTGCTTAGATGGGTGCCCATATAATTTGGTGTTTTATCAGCTCTAGATGAGTACTGGTGTAACAGTGGGAATAAGCAAGTTGGATGTGTTTGCATGCACATAGATGCCTATGTGTGTCTGTGTATAAGTAATATGATGAGATTTTAGTAGAGAATCAGTATGAAAGTCCATTCATTCTTTAAATATTTTAGACCAACAGAGAGACTGAACTAAAGTGAACAAAACTGGTTCTACTAAGCACATTTTCTCTCCTTTGGCCACTGATTAACTTATTTCTCTTAAGTGGAAATAGGATAGAACCTATTTGTCTATTCTTTAAGGATAGTACATATTTATCTAAATCCTTGAGTTACATTAGTGTATTTTTGGCCAGGCACGGTGGCTCATGCCTGTAATCCTAGCATTTTGGGAGACCAAGGAGGGCAGATTGCCTGAGTTTAGGAGTTCAAGACCAGCCTGGGCAACATGGTGAAACCCTGTCTTTACTAAAAATACAAAAAACTGGCCAGGTGCAGTGGCTCACGCCTGTAATCCCAGCACTTTGGGAGGCCAAGGCAGATGAATCTCCTGAGGTCAGGAGTTTGAGACGAGCCTGGCCAACATGGTGAAACCCCGTCTCTACTAAAAGTACAAAATAGCCGGGCATGGTGGTACACACCCGTAATCCCAGCCACTCGAGAGGCTGAGGCAGGAGAATCGCTTGAACCCAGGCGACAGAGGTTGCAGTGAGCCGAGATTGCGCCACTGCACTCCAGCCTGGGCAACAGAGCGAGACTCTGTCTCAAAAAACCAAAACAATACAAAAAATTAGCCACGTGTGGTGATATGTGACTGTAATCCCAGCTAGTTGGGAGGCTGAGGCCCAAGAATTGCTAGGACCTGGGAGTGGAGGCTGCAGTGAGCCGAGATTGTGCCACTACACCAGGCTGTGCAACAGAGCAAGACTCTGTCTCAAAAACAAAAACAAATTGGTATATTTTTATAGCAGCGTAGTATTTCCTAAAATGGTGTTTTAAGATGGGTTACACATTATTTATTTATTTATTTTTGAGACAGAGTCTCACTCTGTTGCCCAGGCTGGAGTGCAGTGGTGCGATCACACCTCACTGCAACCTCCACCTCCCGGGTTCAAGCGATTCTCGTGCCTCAGCCTCCTGAGTAGCTGGGATTATGGGTGCACGCCAGCAAGCCCGACTAATTTTTGTATTTTTAGTAGAGACAGGGTTTCACCATGTTGGCCAGGCTGGTCTCAAACTCCTGACC
The DNA here is from genome assembly GCF_000001405.40 of Homo sapiens. Classification (NCBI taxonomy): domain Eukaryota; kingdom Metazoa; phylum Chordata; class Mammalia; order Primates; family Hominidae; genus Homo; species Homo sapiens. The sequence continues at coordinate 33,236,428 of NC_000011.10, forward strand.
TCAGGTGATCCGCACGCCTTAGCCTCCCAAAGTGCTGGGATTAAAGGCATGAGCCACCAAGTCTGGCCTAGATACTTAATAATTGCTTATCACCCTTTATATCATAACTGTACTAAATAAATTTGGCCTAGAGATCTAGCTCAAAACTTTATGCTTTGCAGGAATTTCCCTGTTACTCCTTGTGATAAGTGGTTAGTCAGCTTTTGTTATTGTTGTTAGTTAAGAGAATGCATCGGAAAACACCTAGAACCGGTCCTGGTCCAGTTAACTGCTTTTGCTTAAAACTATTTTTAAAATGAAGAAATTTTACCAGTGAGCATTATTAAATTTATTCAAAGACTTACTGATTGCTTATATTCTTTTTTCTTTACTGATTATGTAAGCAAAACATGTTATTTTTACAAATTCATATATGTTTTTGTGCATATATTAACATTAGTATATTTATTAGTCTTTATTTTACAGAAATTGATCATAGGTGACTTACATTTTTAAACATGTCTTAGATATCTTTTTACATAAATAAAAATAGGTCTATCTGTTCTTTTCCTCCCTGGCTTTCTGAGGATAGACTGCCATCATGAACGGCACGGTAACTATCCGCGTTAGAAAGTTCATGTCCAACCGACTACTTCAGAGGAAACAAATGGTCATTGATGTCCTTCACCCTGGGAAGGCAACAGTGCCTAAGACAGAAATTCAGGGAAAACTAGCCAAAATGTACAAGACCATACCGGATGTCATCTTTGTATTTGGATTCAGAGCTCATTTTGGCGGTGGCAAGACAACTGGCTTTGGCATGATTTATGATTCCCTGGATTATGCAGAGAAAAATGAATCCAAACATTGACTTGCAAGACATGGCCTTTGTGAGAAGAAAAAGACCTCAAGAAAGCAACGAAAGGAACGCAAGAACAGAATGAAGACAGTCAGGGGAAGTGCAAAGGCCAGTGCTGGTGCTGGCAAAAAGCCGAAGGAGTAAAGGTGCTGCAATCATGTTATTTGTGGCTGTTGTGGATTTTTCACAAGAAGATTAATAAACTATAAACTTTAAAAAGTAAAGATCTATCTTATTTGTTTTAATGCTGCAATGTATTCCATTTTATGGCTGTACCATAGTCACTTATCTAAACCCTCTAAGGTACATATTTCTTTCTTTCTTTTTTTTTTTTTTTGAGATGGAGTTTCACTCTGTTGCCCAGGTTGGAGTACAGTGGTGCAATCTTGGCTCACTGCAATCTTTGCCTCCTGGGTTCAAGCAATTCTTGTGCCTCAGCCTCCCAAGTAGCTGGGATTACAGGCATACGCCACCACACCTAGCTAATTTTTGTATTTCTAGTAGAGACAGGGTTTTACCATGTTGGCTGGGCTGGTCTCGAACTCCTGACCTCAAGTGATCTGCCCGCCTCAGCCTCCCAGAGTGCTGGGAGTACAGGCGTGAGCCACTGTGCCTGGCCAGTTACACTTTTCATTTCCACATTTTAACATTTCTGAAATTACTTCTTGGTTATTTTATTTATTTATTTTGAGACAGGGTCTCGTTCTGTCACCCAGGCTTGAGTACAGTTGCCGGATCTCAGATCACTGCAGCCTCCACCTCCCCAGCTCAAGTGATCTTCCCACTTCAGCCTCCTGAGTAGCTGGGACTACAGGTGTACGCCACCACGCCCAGTAGTTTTTGTTGTTGTTGTTGTTGCTTTTTGAGACAGAGTTTCTCTCTTATTGCCCAGGCTGAAGTGCAATTGCGTGATCTTGGCCCACTGCAACCTCCACCTCCCGTGTTCAAGCAATTCTCCTGCCTCAGCCTCCCAAGTGCATGGCACCATGCCTGGCTAATTTTCGTATTTTTACTAGAGACAGGGTTTCACCATGTTGGCAGGCTGGTCTTGAACTCCTGACCTCAGATGATCCACCCGCCTCGGCCTCCCGAAGTGCTGGGATACAGGCGTGAGCCACAGCGGTGCTAACATTTCTGAAATTAGGATGTCACTTATATTTTATAATGCATGACAGGTTAAAGTTACTATCTGCCAGGCAGCATTTGTGACCTAATTGTCTTTGCCTTGCACAGGTGAACTTGATCATAATTGTTCAAATTTGTGTCACTTAAATCAGTTATGTGCATTGTTAGTACTACAGGTGTTGGGTTTAATTGCTGTTTAAAATGTTCAGATGAAGATGGTGGCTTGACAGTGTGGCTCACGCCTGTAATTCCAGCACTTTGGGTGGCTAAGATGGGCATGATCACTTTGAGCCCAGGAGTTCAAGACCAGCCTGGGCAACATGGCGAAATCCTGGTCTCTACCAAAAATACCAAAATTAGCACACACCTGTAGTCCCAACTACTCAGGAGGCTGAGGCGGTAGGATCCCTTGAGCCTTCGAGGTTGAGACTGCAGTGAGGAGCTATGATCGTGCCCCTGCACTCCAGTGTGGGTGACAGAGTGAAACCCTATCTCAAAAAAAGAAAAAAAAAGGTGGTATTATGACTTTTTGTTGAAACACAAATTTATTGTTTATGAGGAAAGGACAGACACAGAGCAGTGGGGCATACATTTGATATTTAGTGAAGCACATATTTGTCATTCAGGGAGTAACTAATATCATAATGTTTTTCTACAAAGGAATGACAATTCTTTATGAGATGGAAGAAAGTAAGACAGTCATAAGTGATGAAGTTGTTTCAAAGCAATGGGAGGTTGGCATGACTGATTTATACATCTCACAGGACCGGTATTAAGGCATTTTGTCATAGTTTAATTGGCAGCAGTTTTTCTTTCTTACAGGCCCATAAAATAATAACAATTTTACTATTAATGATCTCTAAGAGTAGATGACCTACATTACAGTATCCATGATAAATAACAGACACTGTGCTTAGACTTTACATCTGGGCCAGGTGCAGTGGCTCACACCTGTAATCCCAGCACTTTGGAAGGCCGAGGCAGGTGGATCAATAGGTCAGGAGTTTGAGACCAGCCTGGCCAAGATGGTGAAACCCTGTCTCTACTAAAAATACAAAAATTAGCTGGGCACAGTGGCGGGCCCCTGTAATCCCAGCTACTCAGGAGAATGAGGCAGGAGAATTGCTTGAACCTGGGAGGCAAAGGTTGCAGTGAGTGGGCCACTGCACTCCAGCGTGGGCAACAGAGCAAGACTCCGTCTCAAAAAAAAAAAAAAGACTTTACATCTGGCCGGGTGTGGTGGCTCATGCCTGTAATTCCAGCACTTTGGGAGGTGGGTGGATCACTACGTCAGGAGTTTGAGACCAGCCTGGCCAACATGGTGAAAACCCGTCTCTCTTAAAAATACAAAAATTAGCTGGGTGTGGTGGTGTGTGCCTGTAATCCCAGCTACTCAGGAGGCTGAGGCAGGAGAATCGCTTGAACCCGGGAGGCAGAGGTTGCAGTGAGCCGAGATTGTGCCACTGCACTCCAGCCTGGGTAACAAAGCTAGAGTCCGTCTCAAAAAAAAAAAAAAAAAAAAAAAAGAACTTTATATCTATTTTACCCTACATTTTCTAATTGCATTTTTGAAAATAGACTTCTTTTTTTTTTTTTTTTTTTTTTTAAGAGGGAATTTCATGCTTGTCGCCCAGGCTGGAGTGCAGTGGTGTGATCTCGGCCCACTGCAACCTCTGCCTCCCGGGTTCAAGCGATTCTTCTGCCTCAGCCTCCTGAGTAGCTGGAATTACAGGCGCACACCACCACACCCAGCTAATTTTTTTTTTTTTGTATTTTTAGTAGAGATAGGGTTTCACCATGTTGGCCAGGCTGGTCTTGAACTCCTGACCTCAGGTGATCCACCTGCCTCGGCCTCCCAAAGTGCTAGGATTACAGATGTGAGACACCGCACCTGGATGACTTCATTTTTTTAAGAATAGTTTTAAATATACAGAAGAATTGAGAGCGTAGTACTGAAAGTTCTCATAGACTCCACCCCCACCCCCACAATTTCCCCTATTATTAACATCTTAGATTAGCATGGTACCTTTGCCACAATTAATGAACCAATATTGATATATTATTAATAACTGAAGTTCACAGTTTATTCAGATATCCTTTTTGTCTAATGTCTTTCTCTGTTTTTGCCTAATGTCTTTCTCTGTTTCAGTATCCCATCCCTGGAACATTAGGTATCTAATAAGCATTAGGTTACATGATATTATTTTTATTTTTTATTTATTTATTTTTTGAGACAGAGTCTCGCTCTGTCACCCAGGCTGTAGTGCAATGGCATGATCTCAGCTCACTGCACCTCTGTCTCCCCGATTCAACTGATCTCCTGCCTCAGGCTCCTGAGTAGCTGTGATTACAGGCGCCCACCACCACGCCCGGCTAATTTTTGTATTTTTAGTAGAGATGGGGTTTCACCATGTTGGTCAAGCTGGTCTCAATCTCCTGACCTCGTGATCTGCCCGCCTCGGCCTCCCAAAGTGCTGGGATTATGGGCGTGAGCCACCGTGCCCGGCCAATGTTATGTTTTTTTTAGGCTCTTCTTGGCTGAGACAGTTTTTCAGAATTTCCTTATTTTTCCTTGAAAGTTTGAAGAGTACTGGTCAATTATTTTGTAGGATGCATCTCTATTGAAATTAACTGGGGCTGGGCGCAGTGACTCACGCCAAAAATACGTGAGGATCTCGTCAGGAGATCGAGACCATCCTAGCTAACATGGTGAAACCCCATCTCTACTAAAAACACAAAAAAATTAGCCGGGCGTGGTGGCGGGCGCCTGTAGTCCCAGTTACTTGGGAGGCTGAGGCAGGAGAATGGCGTGAACCCGGGAGGTGGAGCTTGCGGTGAGCCGAGATTGCGCCACTGCACTCCAGCCCGGGCGACAGAGCGAGACTCGGTCATTTCAACACACACACACACACACACACACACACACACACACACACACACACGCAAAGAAATTAATTGGATATTTTTCTCATGATTAGACTGGTGTTACAGGTTTTAGGGAGGAAAAACACAGAGGTAAAGTGCCACTTTCGTCATATCACATAGTGTCAACATGATTCATCACTGCTGATGTTGAACTTGATCACCTGGCTAAAGTAGCGTTTGTTAGGTCTCGTCACCATAAAGTTACTCCTCCCTCAACCCTCGTTTTGATACTGTACTCTTTGGAAGGAAGTCACTATGGGTAGCCCACACTTAAGACTGAGGTGTTATGGTCTCTCTCTTTGAGAGCTGAGTATCTACATAAATTATTTAAAGTTCTTCTGCATGGGAGATTTGTCTCTTCTTCCCCATGTATTTACTTATTTAATTATTACTTATATCACCATGGGCTTATGGATATTTATTTTTTACTTCGAGTTATGTAGTCCAATACTATTTCATTTATTTTGTTGTTTAAAATGTTCCAGGGTTAGCCATTGGGAGGT